>NW_003315936.1:0-154407 GCF_000001405.40 Homo sapiens | reverse complement strand
AAGTTTAATTTGACTTAAAGAAATAAAAATATCATTGGCCCATGTAACTACAAATTTATGGGCTAATTTATTTGAAAGAAGTACTGGCTTAAAGGATTAAAATTATGCACTTAGAACACAATCTCTTTCTCTTGACTACTCTTTTATATGTTGGTTTTATTCTTAGGAAAGCTCTAACTACAAAATAGCAGTGTTTGTCTCTGTTAGTTCTAGCTTTTTACCCTACCATCTTTTCGTTCAGTTAAATGAGAACATTTCCATCTGAATACTTTGAGCAGAACTGCTAGACTTAACTCTAGCTGTCTTAATTAAGATCACATGTTAATACTTGAACAAACAACTTTGATTCTATTAGACTAAGCCTAGACTACTATAATTTGGAACATTTTTCTTAAAGATATACCTGGGTGCTTTAATGAGAACAATGATAAATGTTGAGGAGAATTACATGCATCTTTAACTTGCTAGGTAAAGTAAAATTCCTCTGTGTTGCTTGCACTAATATATCACAGTAGTAAATTAATTTGTGAAAATTGTTGAATACATTTTTATGAGTATATTTGGTTAAATAGCCTTAGAAAAAATATACATTTTATTTATAGAATTCTTAATTTTCCATAAAAGACAAAAAAACCCTGAGGCTTGTTAAAATTTGAGAATATCTAGAAAATCAGAAATATATAACAACCATATTATAGATTATAAAATATCTGTTCATAAATGCTGTGGAGTAAAATAAAGCACATATTGTTGACTCAGTAGGCAAAGACATGTAATCTGTCTCTCTAGATTTTTCTGCGGGAGGAATATGAGTTTATATTAGAGAGTTGACAACTAATGCAATGTAGACTGAACAGGGAATTGAATTACAGTCACTAAAAGGATTAAATCAGTTCGTTATCTCTGATAAGCTGAGATAAGGATATTGGGCTTTAGGTTTAGCACGTTACATTTATTAAGTATTTATTATGTATCAAGCACCCTGCTCACCCATGTAATGCTCACAACAACTCCGTGTGATAACTATCATCATCGGCCCCACATTACAGCTGAAAATCTATCCATAAGACAAGTTCAGGAATACATGTCAGATAATATAATTACACAGATGAATATGTGTTTCTCCCCTTTGCTTCCAGGATTATGACTAGAGTATCCCTTTACTGCTTCCTTCATTGTACCCTTGAATCAGACATGTTTCCTTGCTTTCAGGAAAACGTGGTGTAAATGTTAAATGGTGGTATAAATATCACTTACATATGGTGTAAATATCAGTAACCTGATTCTCTGCAGAACATTTTGACAGCTTATTTTATTTCCACATTTAAAACTTGCCTAGGACAACATTTAAAGTTGGGAAAAATGTGTATTTGAGGCCCAACTTTTTTTTTTCCTTTTAGAATGTGTTGTACCTGACTTACTAAAATAATAATTTATGTATTTGTCAACCAATACCTTATCTGTGTTGAACCCAAATAATTAGACTTTTATAGGATTTTTGTTTTGTTTTAAAATTTTTAGGTTTTTTTTTTTTCCTTGTGGGCTGACTTTCCAGCAAAGTAGATCTAAACTATTTTCGAAGCAGTAGCTTTAGGAAATTAAATCATGTTAAAATGATTCACTACTTATGCATAGATGTCAAACAGGTTTCAAATCTGAGTCAAACATAATTGAGACTGCCTGTCTGAATTGCTGTACTGAAATCAAATCCAAGGTCTTGGAGAACCCCAGGTCTTCCATAGGAATGTAGGAATCACAAGTGGAACTATAAAATCGAAGATCTGTCATAACTGATTTGTATAGCACATAATGAATCAATACAAGTTTAGAGCTTGTCATACCATATGGAAAAAATAACTTTTTGGTATTAATCTACAGATATATTATCTGCAAATGTGTTTTGTTTTATAATATTTGTCAGCGTAAACTTGTTTTCAATGAAAGAATAGAAAGATGCAGAGATAAGAATTTGACTTTGGCAAGTGGCACTATTATACAGAAATTCTAGAGTTGATTTTTATCTTAGGAAAATTTTGATTTTTATTTATTTTTATTTATTGCTTTTAAATAGACTGTATTTTTAGAGCAGTTTTAGATTATTCACACTAAAATTGAGTAGAAGATATAGATATTTCCCAAATACTCCCTGCCACCACATATGCACAGCTTTGCCAACTATCAACATAGTGGTACCAGAGTGGTACCATTGTTACAATCTATGAAAATACATGTATATATAATTTTCAGCCAATGCCCATAGTTTGCACTAGGATTCACTCTTAGTGGTGTATCTATCATTAAGGTGCCCTAAAAATCTTCTGTGGTTCAAATGTTCGTTTCTCCCTCTTCCTTAACCTCTGGAAAACACTGATCCTTTTAATATCTATAGTTTTGCCAGTAGCTGGAATAATACAGAATATATCCTTTCAAATTGTCTTATTTCACTTAGTAATATGCATTTATGGTCTCTTTTCAACTTATTTGGGTAACAAGTAAGGCATGCTATTGCTGGATCATATGGTCAGGAATATTATTTTTAAAAAAGAACTTTCTCAATCTAAGAATATATCTGATAAAAATAGAGATTGTAACATAATAAAATGAGGCTATTATATAATTTTCAGTAATTTGCTTTTCAGGATATATTAGAGAGTATAAGACACAGGTTGTTTTCTAGCTTAGATTTCTACTAGCAAAAGAGTATATCCACTTCGCAGATGCAGTGAGTGTACACAGCTGACATTCGTTTCCTATTCCAGACATTTTAGCAGCCCATAGTCAATAACTGAGTATGATAAAGTAAAATTTCCAACCTCCTTATCTGAAGATATGGCCAAACTTGTGGTGCAAGTAAAGCTCAAGAGTTGCCAATGGGATAAGACACTAGCTGAGGTCCCATATTGCTTAAATCTGCTCCTTGCCCTCTCCTGCTTCCCTCATCCCCTTTCTTTTGACAGCGCCCCTTCACGAAATCCCTTACTCACTGACTCAATACCTGCTTCTAAAGAAATTGACCAAACATATGGAAAATTTTTAAAAATTGAATTAATATTAAAGGATGAGCTGGGCATGGTGGCTCACACCTGTAATCCCAGCACTTTGAGAGGCCAAGGTGGGTGGATCACCTGAGATCAGGAGTTTGAGACCAGCCTGGCACAAAGGTGAAACCCTGTCTCTACCAAAAATACAAAATTAGCCGGATGTGGTGATTGCATACGTGTAATCCCAGCTACGTGGGAGGCTGAGGCAGGAGAATGGCTTGAACCTTGGAGGTGGAGGTTGCAGTGAGCCAAGATTGCTTCACTGTACTCCAGCCTGGGTAACAAGAGTAAAATACCCCCTTAAAAAATAAAAATGAAAATAGAAAATAATAATAATATTTAAGGATACTGTATTTTAAGTTAGGCATCATGGAATTTGGGGGAAATTCACTTAACAAAAACAATATATGCCAAGTAGTAAAGATAGTTATGAAACTATAATCTGGAAGTGTTGCAAATGATGGTTTTCAGTGTCATTTTATGAATCAACAAGCATATATACAAAAGGTTAGCAAGAATTATAAAGACTTTTACACATTAAAATGACTCTGGCAAAAAGAGCTTTGGAGAATACTGAAGCAAAAGAGTAAGAAATAGACTTGGATCGAGATAATTGAACTTGGAAATGCTCTGCCTGTAATGATTCAGTGACTCTTATAAAAATTTTATTCTGGCATGAAGACCATTAGTGACCCAGTCCTTTCCCACCTCTTTGGCTTCCACTCCTGTTACTCTAATTTAAAATAAATAAGCCTCTAAGCCTAGTTCATACAGCCTACGCACTAGGCATAGAGGCTTATTTATTTTATGTACCCTTGACACGCAATCTTCATTTGTGTGTTTCTGTGCCTTATTTGTTACAAACTGCTTCATCCACTGAGAATGCCTCACCATTTTCTCTACAGGAGATAAAAAGATTAAAAATAATGAATAGAACCTCAGGGATCTGTGAGACAATATCAAAAGTTCTCACATATCTGTAATTGGAGTGCCAGAAGGAGAGATCAGAGAGACTGGAAAATAATAACATATGTTTGAAGATATCGCAGCTCAAAATTTCCCCAATATGGAGAAAGGTAGATGTTTACACATTCTAAAAGACCAGAAAATTATGAGAAGGATAATATATGCCATAGTCAAACTGCTGAAAATAAGACAGTAAGAATATTTTGAAATCCAACCGAGAAAAGATGACATGTTATATAGGGGAAACAAATCCAATGAATGTCCAATGCTTATTAGAAAATATGGATACCAGAAGACTGTGTTCCAATAATGGAATGCTAAGCATAATTATTAAGAAATAAAGACATTGAGCGTGACATAAAAATCTGAGTAAATATAAAATACTATTTTCCATCTTAATTTCTTTAAAAATACATTTGAATTTTGAAGTAAAGCAAAAATTACACTGTAAAATTGTAAGGAATATAATTATTACATATGCTACATATAAAAATTATAACATGGTATGACTGTAACTAGGCCTATATACAGGCAAAGTTCCAAATTTTATATGAAATAATAGAACATTCATTATAAATAAGCTGCAAATATTAATAAAATATATGTTCCCAGAGAAACCAGTAAATAATTTTCCAAAACTTGTAGCTAAATACTCCATGTACAAATTATATTAAATTCTAGAAATTATTTGAATAATCTAAGGTTCAAAAAAAGGACAATTTTAAAGGGTAAAAAAGAAAACCAGTAATAAAATGGTAAATCTTAATCTAATCGTATAAATATAGTTCTTTCGAGAAACAGAACCAAATAGAATATACATGTATTTGCATCTACTTATAGATTTCTATACTTGTATAATGATGTTAATAGATACAGATAAAGTAATTTATTTTAAAATATTGGTCATGCAATTATGGGGGCTGGCAAGTACAAAATCCTTTGGGTAGGCCCATGGGCTGGAAACTGGTAAAAGTTGAGATGCCTTTTTTTTTTTTTTTTTTTTTTTTGACACAGAGTCTCACTCTGTTGCCTAGGCTGGAGTGCAGTGGCACGATCTCGGCTCACTGCAACCTCTGCCTCCTGGGTTCAAGCGATTCTCCTGCCTCAGCCTCCTGAGCAGCTGGGATTACAGATGTGCACCAACACACTGGGCTATTTTTTGTATTTTTAGTAGAGATGGAGTTTCACCGTGTTGGTCAGCCTGGTCTCGAACTCCTGACCTCGTGATCTGCCTGCCTCGACCTCCCAAGAGATGCTATTTTAAGGCAGAATTTCTTCTCAACAAAATTTCAGTTTTTGTTCTTAAGGACTTCAACTGATTGAATGAGCCTAACCATAATTTCAACCCTAAACTCTTTCTTAAGTCAAATCATAGTTGGTGTTAAACACATCTAAAAATACCTTCACTGCAACACTTAGATTAGTGTTTAATTCAATAACTGGGTGCCATAACTTAGCCAAATGATTACATAAATTAATAATCACAACTGAGTACAGTAAATATCACTGGACAAAACATTCCACCTAAAGATAGAGTTTGTCAACATAAGTTTAAAAGAAAAGCAAAGGTCAACCTCAATGCTATCTAAAAGATGTGTAATATAACAATAATAATATTGTCATTTGAAAATATGTGCTTGAAAATGTTTTACAATGCAAAGGTCAATAATCAAATGATAGAGTGGCACATTAATATCAGATAATATAGACTTTGAGAAAAAATGTATTACTAAAGAAAAAGATGGCCATTTCTCAAAAATTGAAAAGATCAATTAATCACAGTGACAAAAAAAGCAAAAAACTGTTTGGTCTAATAAAAGAGTTTCAAGAAATATGAAGCAAAAATGTGGAATTCATATGGAGAGAAATTTTACCAATAATAGAATTTTACACTGTTTCACTACAATTGTTAAAATAATCTGATGAAATATTAGTAAAGCCAGCTACCTTGACCTACATGATAATCATACAGCTCTATATTTACCCAGCAACGCCAGAGTACATATTATTTTGAAATGTAAACAGTATGTTCACATATACATTATATAGTGGTCCTTAAAAAATATATTAAATGTAAAATCTTTGAAATCACGCAGAGTATATTCTCTCATCTAAATAGATTTAAATTAAAATTTACAAACATATGTAGAGAGCCTCCCTGTATTTGATAAACAACAAATTTCCAAATAAATCATGAATCAACTAATTAATTACAAATAAAATTATAGATTTTAAACTGAAAACAATGAATATAAAATATATCAAAACCTGTGGAATGCAGTGAAAGCAATGATTTGAGGAAATGTATAGCTTTAAATGCTTGTGCTGGAACAGACAGATACACAATAAACTAAAATTCTGCATTTAGATTTTAAAAACAATATCAAAATATGCCAAATGTAAGCATTAGGAAAAAAATAACAAAGATAAAACAGAAATTAATAAAGTAAAAAACAGTAAAAATATTAGCAAAGTCCAAAAATTGGTACTGTGAAAAAAATCAACAGTATTGATAAACACCTTGCTAGATTAGGGGAGAAGAAATTAAAAAGTGAAAAATAAAACAGACTACTGATATCAAGAGGTGTAAAGAGGAATCATCATTAGAGATAGTATGGAAAATAAAACGATCATAAGGAAATAATAGTTACAACTTAAAACCAATAAATTTGACAACTTAAATGGAGAAAAATCCTTAAAAAGTACAACTTACTGAATCAGACACAAGATGAAGCAGAAAAAATTGTCCTTACATCTATTTAAAATTTGAATCAATTATGAAAACATTCCTATAAAAAAACCTAAAGCTCAGATAGTTTTATTAGGAAATTCTATTAAACAAGAAAGAAATAGAACAAATCTAAAAAAGTATCTTTCTGAAAATATGAGAAGAAAATAGGTTTAGCTATTACCAAAAACATAAATTAAACAAAGTAAGATAAAATTTAAAATTTCCCTCATGAACACAGAAACAAAATGTTGTAAGTATATTAGCAAACTGATTGCACCACTACATAAGAATATTTCATTGCAAAATTTTATTTATTCCAAGAATGCAAAGTTTCTATAACATTCAGAAATCAATCACAGTGATTCACCATACTAACAGAATTTTTAAAAATCAGATGCTCGATAAATGCAGAAAACATTTTATAATGATCAAAATCTATTTATAATACAAGTTATTTGTCAACTAGATATATAAGAAAATGTTCTTAAACAGACAATGCAAAAATATGACAAGCCTATATCTAGTCATACTTAATTTTGTTGCACTGTGGGAGTTAAATGTTGCAGCCCAGAATTGTTCTAGGAGTTTTCTTTTTTGCAATAAAGCAAAAAAAAAAAGATTAAAATATAAAAATCAGGAAGGATTATGCAAAAATATCTAAATTTGCAGATGCCAAAATTAAAATCTTCTGGAATTCACAAAATACTAATAGAGCTTATGAGTGAATTATTAAGGTGACAGATGTAAGATAAATATACGAAAATAAATAGCAATTTGTACATTAAAACACAAAATTTGGAAAACTAACTTAAAAATATAATACGGTACTTTTAAAACTGTTAACATGGAATAAATTCATCATTACATGCAAGACCTTCACACTGAAAAACACTGCTTAGAAGAAACCAAGTAACATGGAAATAGAATGAGAAACATGCCATTTTTTCTGGATCATGAGGTTCACTAGTTTTAATTTATTTATGGATTCAATGCGATCCCAATCACAATCCAAGACTGCTTTTTATAAAAATGGACAACTCTTAAAACAGATATAAAAATTTAAAGGATCTAGAGTATTCAAAGTAATCTTTGTATTTTTATTTTATAATATATTTCATTCTATCACAGTATGAATGATACCTCACAGTTATAAGTCATTAGTTGGCTATGTCTTTATTTGGGAAATGCTTCTTTTCTCTATTAAACTGTAATTCCCAGAGGGAAGGGATCTAGACTATTTAGCTTCCCCGCTGTATCTTCATTGCTGGGACCAGGGTATGACATAATTGTGACCAATAATTTTTTAAATTGATACGTAATGTTGTACGTATTTATGGGTTACATATGAGTATTTGTTGCCTAATCATGTGTGTAATGAGCAAGTCAGAGTATTTGAGGTTTCCATCACCTTGAGTGTTTATCATTTCTATGAGTTGGAAACATTTCAAGTCCCCTCTTTTAGCTACTTAGAAACATATAATATATTGTTGCCAACTGTAATCACCCTACTGTGGTCCCAGCCATTAGAAGACACAAGTTCTAATGTTTGTATTTTTTTCAAATTAGTCATTCTCTCTTCATGCCTTCTCCCACTCACCACCTTTCCCAACCTCTGGTATTTTTTATTCTATTTTTTTTTAAATCTCCATGAGATCAACTTTTTTAGATCCTACCTAGAAGTGAAAACATTGCAATATTTGTTTTTGTGCCTGGCTATTTTCACTTCATATAATGACCTCCAGTTCCATATATGTTGCTCAGAATGGCATGATTTCACTTTTTATGGTTAAATAGGATTCCATTGTGTATATATACCACATTTTCTTTGTCTAGTAGTCTGATGATGAACACTTAAGTTAATTACATATCTATCCTATTGTGAATAGTGCTGAAACAAACATGCAATGAAGGTAACTATTTGAAATACTGATTCCTTCCTTCCTTCCTCCCTCCCTCTTTCTTTCTCCCTCCCTCTTTCTTTCTCTTTTTTCTTTTCTTTTCTTTCTCTTTCTTTCTTTCTTTCTCTTCTTTCCTTCATTAGTTCTTTCTTCTTTCTTTCTCTCTGTCCTTCCTTCCTTCCTTTCTTCTTTCTTTTGTTCTTTCTCTTTCTCTCTTTTTCTTTCTTTCACAAACAACTAGCAATGAGATTGCTAGATTGTATAATAGTTCAATTTTTAGTTTTTGAGGAATCTCCATGCGTTCTCCGTAGTGACTATACTAAGTTACATTACCACCAACAATGTAAAAGCATTTCCTTTTCTCTGCATCCGTGTCAGTGTCTGTTATTTTTCATCTTTTTAATAATAACCATTCTGATAGAGAAAGATGTTATCTCACTGTGGTTTTGTTTTGTTTTATGATGCTTGACAATGTTGAACATTTTTTCATATACTCGTTATCCTCTTTGTATGTCTGTTTATGATAAATGTCTATTCATGTCCTTTGCCCACTTTTTACTTTTTAGTGAGATTTTTTAAAAATTGTTGTTGAGTTTCTTATAAATTATGAATATTAGTTTTATGTTGGATTAGTAGTTGGCAAATATTTTCTTCCCTGCAACAGGTTGTCTCTTCACTCTTTTGGTTTTGTTCTTTGCTGAGCAGATGCTTTTTGGTTTAATACAGTCCCATTTGACATCTTTTTCATATACTCATTAGCCTTTGTATGTCTGTTTCTGAGAAATTTCTATTCATGTCCTTTGCCCATTTTTTTACTTTTTAATGAGATTTTTAAAAATTACTGTTGAGTTAATTGAGTTCCTTATAAATTATGAATATTAGTTTTGTATTGGACTAATAGTTTGCAAATATTTTCTTCCATGCAACAGGTTGCATCTTCACTTTTTTTGTTGTGGTCTTTGCTGGGCAGATGCTTTTTGGTTTAATACAGTCCCAATTGACATTTTTTCATATACTCATTAGCCTTTGTATGTCTTCATCTGAGAAATGTCTATTCATGTGCTTTTGGCATCTTGGTCATTAATTCTTTGCTTAGACCAATTTCCTGAAGTGTTTTCCCTATATTTTCTTCTAATAAATTTTATTGTCTCAGGTCTTACGTTTAAGTCCAATCCATCTCTATTAGGCCATTCTCACACTGCTATAAAGAAGTAGCTGAGACTAGGTAATTTATAAAGAAAAGAGGTTCGATTGGCTCACAGTTCTGCAGTTTGTACAGGAAGCATGATGCTGGCATCTACTGGGCTTGTAAGGAGGCCTCAGGAAACTTACAATCATGGTGAAAGCTGAAGGGGGAGGAGGCACATCACATGGCAAGAGCAGGAGCAAGAGGAGGAAGGAAGGTGCCACATACTTCTAAATGACCAGATCTCATGAGAACTCACTCACTCTCATGAGTTCAGTACCAAAGGGATGGTGGTAAACCATTCATGAGAAATCTGCTCCCATGACTTAATAACCTCCCATTAGGCTCCAACTCCAACATTGGAGACTACAATTCAAGATGAGATTTGTGTAGAGACACAATCATCACCGAAGGGGAAGGAAAAGCAAGCACCTTTTTCACATGGTGGAAGGAGAGAGAGAGAGAGCGAGAGGGAAGTACCACATGCTTTCAAACAACCAGATCTCATGAGAACCCACTCTCTATCACGAGAACAACAAGAGCAAAGTCCTCCCTCATGATTCAATAACCTCCCACAAGGTCCGTCCTCCAAAACATGGGGATTACAATTCAATATGAGATTTGGGTGGGGACACTGAGCTAAACAATATAATCCACTTTTGTTGACTTTGTCAAAGATGAGTTGACTGTAGTTAAGTGGCTTTATTTCTGTGTTCTCTGCTCCATTGACGTATTTATCTACTATAATACCAGTACCATGCTGTTTTGGTCATGGTATGCTTTGAAGTCAGGCAGTGCGATGCCTCCAGCTTTGTTATTTTTGCTTAAGATTGCTTTGGCTATTTTGGCTCTTTTTTAGTTCCATATAAATTTTAGGATTGTTTTTTCTAATTCTGTGTAAAATAACATTGATATTTTGATATCAGTTGCATTGAATCTGTAGGTTGTTTTGTTCTGTATGGTCATTTTAACGATATTAGTTTTTCATTTGTTTTCTGAGAGAAGGTCTCACTCTGTCACTTAGGATAGAGTGCAGTGTCATTATCATGACTCTCTGCATCTTTGATCTCCTGGGGTCAAGAGATCCTCTCAACCAACCTCCTGAGTAACTAAGACTACAGGTATGCACCACCACACCTGTCTCATTTTTTAACTTTATTTTTTGTAAAGATGGAATCTCAGTATGTTGCCCAGGCTGGTTGTGAATTTTTGGCTAAAGCAATCCTCCTTCCTTAGCCTCCCAAAGTTTGGTATTACAGGCATGGGCTACTGTGCCCAACATTATAAATTTTTAAATCCATGAGCATAGTAAGTCTTTTCTTTTGTTTGCGCCTCTTCAATTCCTTTCATCAGTACTTTGCAGTTTTCCTTGCAGAGATTTTTCACCTTCTTGGTTAAATTTATTCCTAGGTATTTTATTTTGCTTGTAGATTAATGTAAATTGGATTGCCTTCTTGATTTCTTTATTGGTTAATTCATTGTTGGTATATAGAAATACAGCTAACTGTTGTATATTGGTTTTGTATCCTGCAACTTTACTGAATTTATTAATCGTATCTAAGAGTTTTGTGGAGATATTTATAGATTTTCTAGATATAAGATCATATCATCAGCAAATTGGGTTAATGTGACTTCCTATTTTCCAATTTTCATGCCTTTTATTTTTTTCTCTTGCCTGATTGCTCTGGATGTTCAGTACTTTGTTGAATAGAAGTGGTGAAAGTGGACATCTGTGTCTTGGTTCAGTTTTTAGAGGAAAGTCTTCCAGCGTCTTTCCATTAAGTCCATTCAGTATATGTTTTGCTGTCTGTTTGTCATATGGGGCCTTTGTTATGTTAATGTACATTTCTTCTTTGCCTAGTTTGTTGAGAGTTGTTATCTTGAAGAGATGTTGAATTTTATCAAATGCTTTCTCTGCATCTATTTGTTCTTCACTCTACTGATGTAATGTATCATGTTTATTGATATGTATGTTGATGGAATCCTTGCATATCTGGGATAAATCCTACTTAATCAGGGGATATTACTTTTTTTCTCTTGTTTTTATTATTATTATTATACTGTGAGTTCTGGGATACATGTGCAGAACATGCAGGTTTGTTTGTTACATAGGTATACACTTGTCATGGTGGTTTCCTGCACCCATCAACCCATCATCTACATTAGGTATTTCTCCTAATGTTATCCCTCCCCAGCCTCCCAACCCCTCAACAGGCTCCTGTGTGTGATGTTCCCCTCTCTGTGTCCATGTGTTCTCATGGTTCAACTCCCACTTATGAGTAAGAACATGCGGTGTTTGGTTTACTGTTCTTGTGTTAGTTTGCTGAGAATGATGATTTCCAGCTTCATCCATGTCTCTGCAAAGGACATGAGCTCATCTTTTTTTATGGCTGCATAGTATTCCATGGTGTATATGTGCCACGTATTCTTTATCCAGTCTAGCATTGATGGGCATTTGGGTTGGTTCCAAGTCTTTGCTATTGTGAACAGTATTGCAATAAATGTACATGTCCATGTGTCTTTTTAGTAGAATGATTTATAATCATTTGGGTATATACCCAGTAATGGGATTGCTGGGTCAAATGGTATTTCTGGTTCTAGATCCTTGAGGAATTGTCACACTGTCTTCCACCATGGTTGAACTAGTTTACACTCCCACCAACAGTGTAAAGCATTCTTAGTTCTCCACATCCTCTTCAGCATCTGTTGTTTTCTGACTTTTTAATGATCGCCATTCTAATTGGTGTGAGATAGTACCTCACTGTGGTTTTGATTTGCATTTCTCTAATGACCATCTTTCTTTCATATGTTTGTGGCCACATAAATGTCTTCTTTTCAGAAGTGACTGTTCATATCCTTCACCCAATTTTTGATAGGGTTGTGTTTTTTTCTTGTAAATTTGTTTAAGTTCCTTGTACATTCTGGATATTAGCCCTTTGTCAGATGGATAGATTGCAAAAATCTTCTCCCATTCTGTAGGTTGCCTGTTCACTCTGATGAGTCTCTTTGGCTGTGCAGAAGCTCTTTAATTTAATTAGATCCCATTTGTCAATTTTGGCTTTTGTTGCCATTACTTTTGGTGTTTTAGTCATGAAGTCTTTGTCCATGCCTATGTCCTGAATGGTATTGCCTAGGTTTTCTTCTAAGGATTTTATGGTTTTAGGTATTATGTTTAAGTCTTTAATCCATCTTGAGTTGATTTTTGTATAAGGTGTAAGCAAGGGATCCAGTTTCAGTTTTCTGCATTTGGCTATCCAGTTTTCCCAACACCATTTATTAAATAGAGAATCCTTTCCCCATTACTTGTTTTTGTCAGGTTTTTCTAAGATCAGATGGTTGTAGATGTGTGGCATTATTTCTGAGGCCTCTGTTCTGTTCCATTGGTCTATACATCTGTTTTGGTACCAGTACCATGCTGTTTTGGTTACTGTAGCCTTGTAGTATAGTTTGCAGTTAGGTAGCGTGATGCCTCCAGCTTTGCTCTTTTTGCTTAGGATTGTCTTGGCTATACAGGTTCTTTTGGTTCCATATGAAATTTAAAGTAGTTTTTTTTCTAATTCTGTGAAGAAAGTCAATGGTAGCTTGATGGGGTGAGCATTGAATCTATATATTACTTTGGGCAGTATGGCCATTTTCATGATATTGCACTAAATACCCACAGGAGAAAGTGGGAAATATCTAAAATCAACACCCCAACATCACAATTAAAAGAACTAGAAAAGCAAGAGCAAACAAATTCAAAAGCTAGCAGAAGACAAGAAATAACTAAGATCAGAGCAGACTGAAGGAGATAGAGACAGAAAAAACCCTTCAAAAATCAATGAATCCAGAAGCTGGTTTTTTGAGAGGATTAACAAAATAGACTGCTAACCAGACTAATAAAGAAGAAAATATAGAAGAATCAAAAAGAGACAATAAATTATGATAAAGGGGATATCACCACTGATCTCACAGAAATACAAACTAACATCAGAGAATACTATAAACACCTCTACATAAATCAACTAGAAATTCAAGAAGAAATGGATAAATTCTTGGACACATACACCCTCCCAAGACTAAACCAGGAAGAAGTTGAATCCCTGAATAGACCAATCATAAGTTCTGAAATCGAGGCAGTAATTAATAGCCTACCAACCAAAAAAAGCCCAGGACGAGACAGATTCACCAGAGGTACAAAGAGGAGCTGGTACCATACCTTCTGAAACTATTGCAAACATTAGAAAAACAGTGACTCCCCCTAACTCATTCTATGAGGCCAGCATCATCCTAATACAAAAACCTGGGAGAGACACAACAAAAAAAGAAAATTTCAGACTAGTATCCCTGATGAACATACCTGAGAAAATCCTCAATAAAAACACTGGCAAACCAAATCCAGCAGCACATCAAAAAGCTTATTCACCACAATCAAGTTGGCTTCATCCCTGAGATGCAAGGCTGGTTCAACATAAGCAAATCAATAACCGTAATCCATCACATAAACGGAACCAATTACAAAAACCACATAATTATCTCCATAGATGCAGAAGAGGCCTTTGATAAAATTCAACACCCCTTCATGCAAAAAACTCTATAAACATGGTACTGATGGAACATATCTTAAAATAAGAAGAGCTATTTTTGACAAACTCACAGCCAATGTCTTACTGAATGGTCAAAAGCTAGAATCATTCCCTTTGAAAACCAACACAAGACAAGGATGCCCTCTCTCACCACTCCTATTCAACATAGTATTGGAAGTTCTGGCCAGAGCAATCAGGAAAGAGAAAGAAATAAAGCGTATTCAAATAGAAAGAGAGGAAGTCAAATTGTCTCTGTTTGCAGATGACATGATCATATTTTATTGAGGATTTTTGCATCTATGTTCTTCAGGAATATTTCCTGGTAATTTTTTCTTTGTTGTTGTTGCATCCTTCTCTGATTTTGGTGTCAGAGTAAAATGGCCTTGCAGAATGAATTACAGAAAATTTTTTACTCTTCAACTTTTTAAAATACTTTAAGGAGAATTGGTGTTAGTTCTGGGGTCCCAGGGTGGTGTACACTGGCAACAGTGTTAGCAGATTTGAATGTTTTGAAGATTTCAACAGTGAAGCCATTCAGTCCTAAACTTTTATTTGTTGAGAGCCTTTTTTATTACTCATTATTTGTTACTGGTCTGTTCTATACCTTCTGAATCAATCTTGGTAGAGTGTATGTGTTCAGGAATTTATCCATTTTTTTTTTAGGTTTGTTAGTTTGTTGGTATAGAGTTGTTCATAATAGTCTCTAATGATCTTTTGTATTTAATGGCTTCTTTTCATTTCTAATATTGTTTATTTGGGATTTCTCTCTTTTTCTTTGTTTAATGTAGTAAGTGGTTTATTGATTTTGTTTATGTTTTCAAGAAAACCCCAGTTTTTCTTTTGTTAATACTTTACATTATTTTTTGACTTTATTTCATTTAGCTCTGCTGTGATCTTCATTTTTTTTCTTTTAATACTTTGGTATTTTCTTTGTTTTTGCTTTTATACTTTGTTAAAGTCCATGATTATATTGTTTATTTGAAATCCTTCTACTTTTATGATGTAGGTACTTACTGCTATCACCTTCCCTCTTAGCACTGCTTTTGCTGAATCTCACTTATTTTAGTATGCTGTGTTTTAATTTTCATTTGTTTCAAAGAATATTTTTATTTTCTTCTTAATTATCATATTGATATGATGCTCATTCAGGAACGTGTTGTTTAACTTTCATGTGTTTGTGTATTTTCTGAGTTTTCTCTCGCCATTGGTTTCTAGTTGTATTCCACTGTGATTGCAAAAGATACTTGATATAATTTATAATTTCTAAAAAATTTGTTGAGACTTCAGTTTTAGCCTTAGATATATACTGAAGAATATTCTATTTGCTTATGAGAAAAAATGTATTTTCTGTAGATATTGAATTAAATATTCTGAACAAGTCTATTAGGTCCATTGAGTCAAATATGCAGTTTAAATCCAATGTTTTCTTATTAATTTTCTGTCTATATGATTTGCTTAATGCTAACAGTGGGGTGTTGAATACCCTACTATTATTGTATTGAAGCTCACATATTTTTTATTGTAAAGATGAGAATATGCAGCACAATTCTAAACTGCAATATTTAACACCTACAGTGCAACAAAATTCAATATAATATTAGATGTAGGTTTACACATCTGGTTGCTCTGTTGTTGGATACATACATGTTTAGAATTGTTATAACCTCTTGCTGAATTGTTTCTTCTATCATTACAAAATTACCTTCTTTGTCTCTTTTTAGAGTGTTTGACTTAAAGCGTGTTTTGTCCAATACAAGTATAGCTACTTCTGATCACTATTGGTTTCCATTTGCATGAACTATTGCTTTTCTTTCTTTCACTTTCAGCCTTTATTTGTCCTTACAGGTGAGATGAGTTTACTGTAGGCAGCATATAGTTGAATTATGTAGTTTTATCCATTTGGCCTATTTATATCTTTTAAGTGGAAAGTTTAATTCATTATATTTAAGGTTACTATTAACATATGGGGGTTTACTCCTGTCGTTTTATTAATTGATTTCTGCTCTTTTGTACATCCTTTGTTCTTTTCTTTCTCTCTTATTGTGTATCATTTTAGTGTTGTGGTTTACTGTATTGTTAACTTTTGAGTCTTTTCTTTGTATGTTCCCTCTACCTGTGGTTCTTATATTTTCAAATATTTCATCGTGGTAGATCTTGTTCTCTCACTTCTGGATGTAGAACTTTCTTAAGCATTTATTTTAGGGTCAGTCTAGCAGCAATAATTTTTCTCAGCTTTTGCCTGTCTTGGAAAGACTTCATTTACACTTCACTTACAAAAGATAACTTACGTGGGTATAGCTGGCAGTGTTTGTTGTTGTTGTTTGTTTCTTTCTTCTAGCACTTTGAATATGACATCCTATTGTCTCCTGGCCTATAAGGTTTCTGCTGAGAAATTCTGTTAATTTGATGGGGATTTCTTTATAAGTGACTAGCCATTTGCTTTTGTCCTTTTTAGATTTCTCTCTTTGTCTTTTACCTTTGACATCTTAATTAAAAAGTGTCATGGAGAAGACCTTTTTGCATTGTATTTGCATGAAAATGTCTGAGCTTCGTATAGCTGAACATCTAAATCTTTTGCTAAACTTCGAAAATTCCTCTATTATTTCATTAAATAGATGGTTTTGAATCATTTTACTTTCTCTCGGCCTTTTGGGACTCAGAAAACTCAAATATTTGGTCACCTTATCTGTACTATATGTCACATAGGATTTGCTTATTTTTCCCCCTCATTTTTGTCTGTCTGAATTGTTTCAAAACCCCTGTCTTCAAGTTCTGAGATTATTTCTTGTGCTTGATCTACTCTATAATTGGAGGTTTCACGTATATTTTTAATTTTATTCAATGACTTGTTTTGTTTCAGAATTTCTCTTTAGTTCTTTACTATTAAATCTCTCCCATTGGTACAGTTGTCATATATATCCTGAATTGTCCTCTTGAATTCTTTGTAGTATTTTTCAGTATTCTCTTGTATCTCACTGATCTTTAAAGTCAATATTTTGAATTATTTTTTCTAGGATTTTATAAATTTCTTTCTGATTGGGATCTATTTCTGAAGAATTTTGTGTTCTGGAGATGACAAATTTGATTTTTCGTGTTTTCTTGTCCTTACATTGATATCTGTGCACCTGTTGTAACAGTTGCTTCTTCCAATTTATGAATTCGATGTTGTAGGGAAAAACTTTTTCCTCAAGTTGAATATATGCAGTTGGTTGATTAGGGCACTTCACTTTGATTGTGTGTGTGTGCAGTAATGTAGTCTCAATATAATTTCTCCAGCTGTAAACAGCATCTTTGGTGACTGAAATTTCCTTGATGGCTTATGGCATCATCATTAATGAAGGCTGTGGTGAAGTTTTACTGGGAACTGAGACACAAGGTGAGTCAGTAACTGAACTACCGTGGTGGCACCAGTGGGGTGAATGTGCCTGCCCTTGGGTCCCAGGGTGGTGTACACTGGCAACAGTGTTAGCAGATTCAGACAGGTTAATTATTGTGCCTCCAGCTGATTCTTGGTAGTACATTGGTGGGCCCTCCAGGTGGCTGAGTTCTCAAGCTTCTGGGCAACAGAAGGGGTTTGGGTTTTGGCAGTAGTAGTGACAGGTAACTCTCTGGGTCCCGAGAGGTGCACATTCATGTTGGTAGTGTCTATGATGGGCTGGGCAAGGTAGTCTCCAGGCCCAGGCCCAAATTGTACATCTAGGTAGGTGCCAGATGTGGTTATAGCAGCAGTGTCAGTTGGCCCAGCCTCAGGTCCCTGAAATGAGTTCCTATATGCCAACTCCAAAGGTATTGCCACATCTTAGCAATCTCCAGTCCTTGGTATCAATTTTGTATTAATCAACTCTTGCACTGCTATAAAGAAATACCTGAGAATATGTAGCTTGTAAAAAAAAACAAAAAAAAAAAACCACGAGGTTTAGGGCTGGGCACAGTGGCTCACGCCTGTAATCCCAGCATTTTGGGAGGCTGAGGTGGGCGGATCACGAGGTCAAGATTTCGAGATCACCCTGGCCAACATGGTGAAACCCCATCTCTACTGAAAAATACAAAAATTACCCGGGCGTGGTGGCGCAAGCCTGTAGTCCTAGCTACTCGGGAGGCTAAGGCAGGAGAATCGCTTGAACATGGGAGGCAGAGGTTGCAGTGAGCTGAGATCGTGCCACTGAACTCCAACTTGGCGACAGAGCGATACTCTGTCTGTCAAAAAAAAAAAAAAAAAAGAGAAAAGAGGTTTCGCCCAAAAAATAGTACATCTAGGTAGGTGCCAGATGTGGTTGTAGCAGCAGTATCAGTTAGCCCAGCCTCAGGTCCCTGAAATGAGTTTTATATGCCAACTCCAAAGGTGTTGCCACATCTTAGCAACCTCCAGTCCTTGGTACCAATTTTCTGTATTAGTCAACTCTTGCACTGCTATAAAGAAACACTTCAGACTGTGTAGCTTGTAAAATAAAGAGGTTTAGTTGGCTCGTGGTTCTGCAAGCCATACAGGAAGCATGATGGGTTATGAGGAGCCTTCAGGAAACTTACAATCATGGCAGAAGGCAAAGGGAGAGTCAGTAGCTGGAGTAGGAGGAAGAATGAAAGGTTGGGTGTCACACACTTTTAAATAAGCTGATCTCATGAGACCTCTATCATGAGAAAAACACTTGGGGGATGGTGTTAAACCATTAGAAACAACCCCCATGATCCAATCACCTCCCACCAAGCCCCACCTCCATCATTGAAGGTTACATTCAACATGAGATTTTGGGGGGACACGAGTTCAAACTATATCAGCATTATTGCATTCAGTGGCAGGAACCATATGCAAGCAAATGAGGAACGTGTGCTTTGCTCATGTTTCAGCCCTGGCATCAGGAGCTCATGTGTGGTTCATGCTTTAGCATTGGCAGTGACAGCTGATACTTCACTTGCCCTCTGGCCCTGGCAGCAGTAGCCTGTTATTTTGCTCATACTTCATCCTGGTCAGCAGTAGCTAGCCATGATAGTGTCTGCAATTAAGGCATACCAGTGGGAATCAAGGGAGATGGAGATGCAGGCATTGCTGTAACCCGTGGTGGGGAGCAGTCAGTTGGCGATTGGGCTCTCAAAATGGCAACATGCTATAATTGCTTAGGACTTGGAAATTGTGGGGAACCCAGCATTAGCTCCTTCTCTGGAGCAGAACTGTCATGCCGTCTCTAGGCAACTCTTTATGTTTCAGGGCCCATGAAGGTTGAGGGGACCTCAGGTGCCTCTGATTGCAGGAGTCCACCGTGAAAATGTGGACCACTGGGATTCTCTCACTTAACCTTTCTTCGCATTGTGAAATTTCTCAGGCTCCCAGCAGATTCCAGCTATTCAGACTCCTCACTTCCCTCTCCTTTCTTGATTTTGATATTTCCTGGCACTTCTCTGCTGAATACCAGTGTTCTTTCCTGGATGATTTATTCAAAATGTTCAAAGCAAGCTTGAAAAGAGAAATGTTAGAGGGATTGCAGCAGCTAAATATACAAATAACTACAATGCTGCAATAATTAATATGAGGTGAAAAAATAAATGAATTAATGAAACAGAAAAAAGCAAATAAACAGGCATACTTAAATAGTTGTCTTTTTTTTTTAAATCAAAGCAGTTAAGATATTTCATAAGGAAAGTAAGTCTTTTCAACAAATGTTGCTGGAATAACTGAACATCCCTCCACATAGGAAATTAAACAAACATCAAAATTTTTTGACAGATACTGCATACAATGCACAAAATTATTTAGATGGTTCATGAGTCTAAATATAAAAGATAATTGTATAAAGTTTGTAGTGGAAAACATTGGAAAATATTTTCATGAGTTGTAGGTAGGCAAAATATTTGCAAAACATGTATCACAAAGTATTAATATCCAGGATGTATAAAAGTGTCTATAAACTTTTATAATTAAGTCATATAGAGAAAACCCAATGCAATGGGCAAAAATTGAACTAACAAATTATAATAAATCTAAATGGTTATTATTCAAATAAAAAAGTACTCAACATTATTAGACATCAGGGATTGCACATTACATTATCATGTTACGCAATTCTATACCCTATTATGGCCTTTAACAAACTCATAATAACAAATAGTTGAGAGAATATGAAACAACAGCAATTCTTATACATTGCTATTGGAAAGATAAATGTACATAGTTTGAGAATTAGCCTAGTAGTTCATTACAAAACTAAACATACATTTTTCCTATGATCCAGCAAATCCGCTAGCAGGTATTTAATTAACATAAATGAAAATATATGGTTAAGTGAAAACTTGTACAAAAATGTTGATAGTAGCTTTACTCATAATAGTCACAAAGCAAAAATAATGTTGTCAATCAACAAGAGAATTGATATGTAAACAGTGATATGTATTTACAGTGGAATTTTACTGAGCAATTAAAAGGAGCTCATTATACATGCAACAACAAAAATAAATTTCAAAAATATATGCTAAGTGCAATCACAAACAAAAAGTACATATTGTGTATTTGCATTTCCATTAGGTAAAACTAATTCATAGCAGAAAAATAATCACACACAAAAAAATGAAAATGGTTAGCCTTACTGACTGAGGATGGAGACTGACTAAGTAGGGACAAGAGAGAACTATTTAGGATGATACAACATTCTTACTTTGATAATAGTTTGAGTTCAGTGTATGTAATTGTCACACCCTGTCAATAGAAATGTTAATTTCTTCATTCCAACTTAAGTAAATTTGGTCTTAAAAAAAGACTACAAAACATAGTGAACTAATTAGTGACGTGTTTCAAGAGAATATACTAATATCTCAATTTTTCTTTCCAATATACTTATATTTGATGGATGCATAAAGAGATGAGATAAATTGTTTACTAAAATGCTAATTATAAATCTAAGTGATGAGTATAATGATAAACTACAGGTGGTCACATATATACAATTATAATCGTATATTAACTTCCATATATGTTTGAATGTTTTTAAAAAATGTTGGAAAAAAAAAGAATACCAGAGACAGACTGGAAATCAGCCTGTTCCTTTACTGTAAATAATATATTTGTCACTGCATATGTTTCTGAGGACATGTAGTATGGAATGTTGTAAGAGAAAATTAAGAATAAGATAAATAGTATTACCTAAGAAGTGACTTTTTAAATGTACTCTTAAATCAATAAAGAATTCACTTCAATTGAAATATTTTGAATTTAAGTTCCAAAGCCTCACACTTCTATGAGCTGTTTCTAAGGCACTTGAAGGGGTCTTAGCAATTATTGACATAGTCATATATTTTTGTAAAATTTTTAAATAGGTGATATAATTGTCTTACTTCAGGCTGTTATAACACATATACCATATACTTGATGGCTTAGACAGCAAGCATTTATTTCTCATAATTTTAGAGGCTAGAAGTCCAAAATAAAACTTATAGCAGATTTAATATTTTGTGAAGGTCTTTCTAGTTTTCTAATGGCTGTCTTCTTACTGTATTTTCACATGGCAGACAGCAGAGAAGAAGCAAGCTCTCTCCTGTCTCGACTTATAATAATATCAATCCCATCAAGAAGCTCCATGATCACAATCTAATTATCTTCCAAAGGCCCCATCTCCAGATATCATCACAATGGACTTTAGAGTTTCAACATATGAATTTTGGAAAGACACATTCAATCCATAGTAATAACTGTTTCAGGCAGATGACTTTTTACACTGACTGATGTTTTCTGTTAAATGTCTTGTGCATGGTGGTTTAGGAATGAACATTTAATTTGAGTCTGAGAAATAATTATATGGCTAACACTTCTATCCATATATAACTAAGTTATTGATTGCTCCTCCCATGTATTAATGGTTTCTCAGAACAGCATTGCCAACCATCCACTGTGTCAGGTTATCCACTTTGGGACACAAGGTTGCAGGAAAGAAGGTTTATAGAAAATAAACATCAGTGCCCAATGCTGCAAGGACGAAGATAGTAAAACAAAAACAAAGCAGCTTTCAGAAACCAGGAGTCAGAAGTCAGCTTGCTGAAACTTATTCTTAGTAAGTACAACTCATTCATAAAAGAACCTTGGTAGAGAATTTCCAACATTAATAACAATCCAATCATTTACACAGCATTTCTAAAAACTAGTCATGTATGTGATAGCTTTCTTATGCATCAACAACAAAATCTAGCAAATATTGGTTCATCATGCTAGAGAGAAATATACTTCTTTTTCTTCTCTCTGAAGAAAAAGCATTAAAAATCAGTGTAACATATTGAGTATGCATCAGTAATGAAGATAATTAATAAAACATTGTTATTTTCCTAAATGTTTCTATGCTCGTAGTATTTGCCAAGATTTTGCCATTGGTAATTTGTAGAGATGTATTTCTTATTCCAAATTAGGTTAACTAAATTTATATTAACAGTTGTATTGATATAATACTCTCAAATTTTAAAAGCATCAGTATTTACAAATTCCAGATTAGATCTTGTGCTAAGTCAAATATTTTCCTAGCATTTCATCTGAAATTCTAATGACCTGTTTCTCATGCTGTTACTTACTAGATCCTGTCTGATTTTGAATCCTTCTAATCTAAGTAATTACTGTATTCTAGGATGCATTAAGTAGACATTCAAAAATAGAGAGCCCTGTCTATGATATAACCCAAAGAATATTTAATAAGTGAACATTTTTAAACTTTTTTAAAAAAGGGAACATTAATGTTTCTACATTTTTTTCCTCTTTCAGGTGGCCTCAGGGTAACTGGACAATGCCTGGTTGATGGTGGAGACTAACTTAAGAGTTTGAATAATTATGTTTTGGCATTTCTATATGTTTTCTTGGGAGAGGAAAGCAGCCATTGCTGGCCTTAAATGGCTTAGGCAATGGGAAGGGCTTGTAGCTTTGGTATTTATTGTGTTTAGGGGTTAGGATTGGGTAAGAGTTTCTCTTGCCTACTGCCTGAGTTTACATGGTTTGACCTTCCCTGCTGGTGCCAAGGAAAGCACGTTCAATGTTTCTTTTTGGATTTCCTATATATGAGGCAAGAGGAAAAGAAGAAAGTGTAGGGTGTGAAACGTGCCATTGATCTAACATCAAAAATGGAGTCACTTTATTGCATCATATTTAGAAGCATTAATCAAAATGAGGAGGACATTTCCATAGTAAACAGAATATCACAGAAGTATCATTTCTTTTGTGTTTGTGAAGGGTCATATATATAAAAAAAGAAAGAAGGAAAAAAGGGAAAAATTTGGTGAGAGAGTAGAAACAAGATAATGTACATGAACCTGCTGCTTAAAATTTCCAAAGTTAATTCTGAACAACAGCCCACAGAATATTTCCTTGTTCCTACGTATTGACGATCTTATACTTGAGAGTTTTCTATTTTTCTGGAGCCTCCTTTTAAGGACTATTGTGGTTATATTGTTAACACTCAGATAATACAAAATAATCTGCCTATTTTTAGGTCACCTGATTAGAATCTTTAATTCCAACAGCAATTTTAATTTTCCTTTACTATGTAACATGACATGTTCAGAAGTTTTGAGAATTAGGATGTGAGTATATTTGGGGGATCATTATCTGCCTACCACAAGTGTACATGGAGTGACAGGGTCTGGCCATTATGCTCAAGGTAAGACTCCTGTGGGGCAATTTTTAGGCTAGAGCTTGCCATTAGTATGACTGAAAGTTTCTCTGTGTTGCACAGCACTGTGAGGATAGTTCTTCCTGATCTTTCTTTCTCCCTGACTTCTTTCACTGTCGTCAGATTATCATTGTTGTTTGAAAGCTTTTCCTGTTTATACCGCTTCCTCCTCTATCTTTCACAGGTGTTACCTTTTAATAAATCTCCTGTAAATCTAAATCTGTTTTAGTGTCTCCTTCATGGAGGACTCAGGTTGACACAATGAATCTTTGAAAGATATTAAGCCAACGAGAGATAATTCATTGTTTCCAATCTGGAGAAGGATATTAATTATTGGTTTAGGTAATACTTAATAAATTCACTTACTTAAACTTACCAATTAATACACATTTGATAATTCACCACATCACATCAGAAACATGATGAGTGAATACCATTCACATTAAAATATTTGCAAAAACTTAATCAGACTTGATAATTAAGAAGTACTAACTGATTGATCATACTGAATAACAAACAGAATCAATTCATATCAATGACACACAATGATAGAAAAGTAAATCTATTTTCTCTAAAATGTCATCCTTATTACTAGAAGCAGTAGGTTAACTATGAGACACATTCTTATAGGCAATAAGACCTGACTAATCTGTTTTGTTTCTTCCACCTTAGATTAAGGAGGCTCAAGAAATAGTAATTCAAGCTAAAATAAATTTATGTTCAAGAAACATCGAGGGCTTCTACGAAATAATGGATTTTAAATAAGAAATTTAATTTTATGAAACTCTTAGAATTGGCTAGTCCATGTGAAAATTTCAAGTCATATCCTGTGATAAGATCTGACTGTGATTATTCCGGTTTAAGGAGCAGAGCTGTGGGTCTGCTATCTCTGCCTAACTAGAAAGCCATTTATAGTAAGTGGCACCCTGGATAAGACTCTATTTAAATAGTATGTACATGCACCTGGGAGTTGAGAAGTGCGAGAACAATGGCTGCACTTGCAGAGCATTTTTCCCTAGTGACTTGCTGCTTTTCCAGTGTGTAGGAGTCTGAACATCATTAATGGAGCAAGGTCAGGTAGGTTATAGATGTCTTTACACACAAAAGTGACTTGGGAATTAAAAAAAAATTAAAGCTCTTGAACTGGTCAGTTCAATTGATGAAGTCTTTTATTTTGGACCCCCTAAAAATGTTTTGGCTTAAATTCATCTATTGAAATGCTGTTTTCTTGCCATAGACATATCACACTTTATTTAAAAGTCAGCTTATGACCATGTCTAGAATATAACAACTACACTATAAAATGTGAAAAAAAAGTATCTATGACAATAAAATTAATGTTTCTCTCAGGTTAAAATAGAGCAATACAAAAAGCCCACGTAAGAAAATTAGAAATGTTTATGTTGTTAAGAATCTACTGGCATTACTATTTTCATTATTACTTGTACAATTACTGCTATTAACAACTTCAAAGTGCATCAATCAAATTTTAAACAATTAACTAAATGTTCACAATCATCTTCCGGAATCCAAGTTATTTTTATGGTACAAGTAAACCTTTACCTCTATCAATGGTTCATTTCACTAATCTCATTAAATATTTTTCAGTTTGTTAACTGTGCTTCAGTTCTTATCTCCATGAGCAGAATACCACTAACTGGGTCATTGTGAGAGCTAAATAAGTTACAACTCTGGCAGGCAAAGAGAAACTTCTTAATCAAAGATTATTAAGATTTATTGTTATTACTATTGTAGTTGAAGATGAGAAACAGGTGCATATAATTGGAAGGAAATGATTGTTATTATTATTCTGGATCTGTAACAGAGGTATGTGGATTTAAAACAATACTTCAATACTTAGTTTAAAAATTTTAAAATAAGACAAATATTTCTAAATAGCATAAATTATGCTCCAGCTACAGAAATTATCTATTTTTTTCTAGGAACTTTCTTTAGAAACTTCTGAAGAGTGGTAATTGAGAGATTTTTATTTTCTTTAATGATTAAGATGTTAAAGCCTATGGAAATATACTCAGGGTGTGATGTATAATTTATTTTATAGCTGCTTATATTTTTAAAACTAAATTTTATATAAGTTTGTATAGTAACATAAAATACCTATTTTCTGTACACTTATTCAACAATTCTATTCCCAGATATAGAATTTACATGTAATATCCAAGAATATCAAAATCATACTATAACTATCCTATAAAAGAGAATAAATAACTTACTAAACTTAAGCTATGTAGTTTTAATTGAGCTGATTAATTTTTCCTTGTAAACACTTGTCTTCGGAATATGTGAAGGAGCTTTATAGCCATACTATAAAACTATTTTCATTTATCAAAAAGTATTTATACTGATTTCTTTACGTGTGTCTTTGACTTTTCTTTGGGGATTTTTTTTAAATGTTAAAGCATGAACCAAGTTTCTCTCTTGCCACAAAACAGAACGTTTAATTAGAACAATTTTTATAAATTAGTAACATTGATTATAGAAATATGCATAAAAGTTACTTGAGAACATAGAGTATGTTAGATATTAAGAAATTATTGGGATGTCCAGTTCAAAAATGTTGGCCGAAAAGGATTCATCACCCACCCTAATGGGAAATCAGAAGCAAACATACCGTGGTGAGATTATCACCAGTAGTGTTGCAGAACACAAACATGACGATGGGAGAGTTTCCTGACCACACAGAAGTGAAAAACCTCCAAGCAAATGATAAGAAAATTGGACTTTTATATCCACGATGTCCCTGTCCCCAATATGTGCAGCACCAAGGACCTGGAAAAATTTCCCCTGACTCTTAGTTTCTACACTAAATAAGAAGTGAGATTGAGGTGGACAAGTAACTTCCCCACCATTTTTAGTTCCCTGGCAGCAGACCTATCCTTTTCTTCACTCAAGGGAAGCATTTGGAGTGCCTACAGAGATAAATATCCTTGAGGACATCCAGAGACAAAAGGGAAAGGAAGACCACCATCCCCAGCCCTGGAAACTCTGCTCTAACTTGGTGAAAGGAGATGCCAAAGCAGCACCACACTGTAGAAGGTGTGTTCCACAGGTCCCCTGGCCACAAACCCCTAGCCAGCCCTCCCACACTACTGTGATATCCCCTTTGAGACATCTCCAACTGGGAGAGATAACACTCTGATTTTTTTTTTTTCTAGAACTGAGGCACAGCTCAGCCTAAAGCATCATCAAATGCCAATGAGGAGGCAGTGATCTTATAGAAAAAAGTAACCAACAGGTAAATAAAAATCTCCAAGCAAACATTAAAAAAAAAGCCAGATAGAGAAGACTAGAATAAATAAATAATGCAAACACTTTCAATGCAAAGACTAGATGTACATTCACAAGAAACAATGCAAACAGAAAACCATGACCTCCTTAAACTGACAAAACTAGAAACAGTAACTGACCCTAA
Organism: Homo sapiens; assembly: GCF_000001405.40. Lineage (NCBI taxonomy): Eukaryota > Metazoa > Chordata > Mammalia > Primates > Hominidae > Homo > Homo sapiens. Next base: position 126,958 of record NW_003315936.1, on the reverse strand, counting down.
CAAGATGGCAATATGTTATTAGCTCCCTGATGAAGAATTCAAAATAACAGTTTTAAGGAAACTCAGTGACCTTGAAGATAACACAGAGAAGCAACTCAGAAATTAATAATCACAGAAATTAATGAAAAGATTGAAATAATAAAAACAAACAAACAGGAATCTTGAAATAAATAGATTTGACAAACTGAAAAATGCATTAGAGACAACAGCAGACTGGATAAAGCAGAGGAAATAATTAATGACCTAAAAGACAGGCTATTTGAAAATGTAATCAGAGAAGGAAAAAGAAAAAAGAATGAAAAGAAACAAAGATTATCTATAATATACAAAAAATTACCTCAATAGATGAAATCTAAAAATTATTGTTTAAAAGTGAGTAGAACAAGAGTAAGGAAGAAATATAAAGCTTATTCAAACAAATAACCACAGAAAATAATCAAAAACTCGAGAAAGAGATAAATATGTAGGTACAGGAAGGTCAGAAAACACACGACAGTTTCAACCTCAATAAAACCAACATAAGACACAATGATCAAACTCTGAAAGGCCAGTGGCAAAGACAGGACCCTAAAAGCAGCAGGGGAAAATAAGCGAATAACATGTAAAGGAGCTCTACTTTGTTTGGCAAGAGACTTCTAAATAGAAAGTATATAGGTCAGAAGAGAATGGAACAACATTTTTAAAGTACTGAAAGGAAAAAAAAATGCCATCCAAGCATGCTGTTTTCAGCAGAGCTGTTCTTCAAATATGGAGATATAAACTATTTCCCAGACCAAAAATTAAAAAAAACAAACTGAGAGAATTCACTAACACCAGCTCTGTCTCATAAGAAATTCTGAGTGAATTTCTTCAATCCGATGAAAAAGAACCACTAGCATGCAAAAACAAAACATATGGTATAAAAACCATTGGTAAAATATACACAGAAAACCCAGAATACTCTAACACTGAAATTGTGGTGTGCAATCCACTCATAATCGTAGTATGAAGTTTAAAAGACAAATCTATGAAAAAAAATACCTACAACAACCCGAGAAGCAATACACAATATAAAAATGTGTAAATTGAGACAACAAAAAGTCAAAACATGGTGAGGGGATGGAGTTAAATTGTAGATGTTTCTTTTTCTTTTATTCTATTGTCATTTTTTTATATTTTCTTTGTGATCTAAGAGAAGTTATAATCTCTTTAAAATAACGAGTTATATCTAAAAGATTTTTTGCAAGACTCATCGTAACCCCAGTACAAAAACATAATAGATTCACTAAAAATAAAAAATGTAATGAAATAAAACATACTACCATAAAAATTACTTAGGCAAATGTAAGACTGAAAAAAAGGAAGAAAGAGAGAAGCTATGAAACATTCAGATAAGTGGCAACAAAACAGCAGTAGTAAGTTTTTCCTCATCAATAATAACACTGAATATAATTGTACTCAATTGTTCAATTAAAAGAGATAAAGTGGCTGAATGGATTAAGAAACAAGACCCAACTATATAGTGCCTATGAGAAGCTGACATCTCCCATAAAGACACACAGAAAAAGGAAGTGAAAGGACAGAAAAGATATTCTATATAAATACAGACCAGAAAAATCAGAAGTAGCTATATTTATATCAGATAAAACAGACTACAAATAAAATACTGAAAATAGAGATGAAGAATGTCACTACATAAAAATAAAGCAGTCAATTTATCATGAGAATATAACAATAATAAATATCTATGCACACAACACTGGAGCTCCCAAGTATATAAAGCAAGCATTAATAGTTAATGGAATAGATAAACCATAATATAATAATAGCACGGATATTTAAAAAAAACTTCCATAAACCTGGAATGAATAATGAAATCAAAGCATGGATAAAAAGTCTTCTATCAAAGAAAAGCCCAGGACACGATGGCTTCACTGCTAAAATCTGCCAAATATTTTTTAAAAACTATTATTAATTCTATTGACATTACTAGAAAAAAATTAAAGAAGAAGAAATACTTTAAAATGCATTCTATGAGGTTAGCATTACCCTGATGCCAAAACCAGATAGTGATGCAACAAAAAAAGAAAACTGCAGATTAATATCAATGATAAACATAGATGCAGAAATTCTCAACAAAATAATAGCAAATGGAATTCAATAGCACATTAAAAATATCATTCTCTGTGATCAAGTGTGATTCATTCCAGGAGTATAAGGATTGTTCAACATACACAAATCAATAAACATGACAAATCACATTAACAGGTTTAAGAACAAAAAACATACAATTATTTCAATAGAAGCTGTGAAAACATTGGATAAAATTCAACATCCCTTTGTGACTAAAAATTTTTTTCGACAAACTAGTGTAATAGAAGGAAATACCTCATAATAATAAAGACCAATATGACAAAGCCATGGCTAATATCGTACTGAACAGGAAAAAAAATTTGAAATCCTTTCCTCCAAGATCTGGAACAAGACAATGATGTTCACTTTTATCACACTTCTGCAACATACTACTGGAAGTCCTGGCCAGAACAATTAAGCAAGAGAAAGAAAGGGCATTCAAATTGGAAGGAAAGAAGCCAAATTAGCCCTTTTTGAAAATGACATGATCTTATACCTAGAAAAACTTAAAGACTCCATAAAAAAAACACAAACAAATAAAATCTGTTGGCACTGATAAACAAATTTCATTAATTTGAAGAATATAAAAGCAACATACAAAAATCAGTAGCATTTAGATATGTCAACAGTGAACAATTTGAAAAAGGAATCTAGTAAGTAATCTCATATACAGTAGCTATAAAGAATATAAAATGCCTAGGAATCAATTTAACCAAAGAAATGAAAGATGTATATAAGCAAAACTATAAAACACTGATGAGAGAAATTGAAAAGAATACCAAAAAAGAAAATATATTACAGGCTTATGAATTGAAATAATTAATATTGTTAAAGTGACAATTCTGCCAAATTAAATTTACAGATTCTATGCAATTTCTGTCAAAATATCAATGACAATTTTTGCAGAAGTAGAAAAATAAATTCTAAAATGTATGTAGAATGACAAAAGACTAGATAGCCAAAACAATTCTGAGCAAAAAGAACAAATCTGAACACATCAAACTAAGTGATTTTAAAATATACTACAAAGCTACAGTAACCAAATTGCATGGTACTGTCATAAAGACAGACACATACGCCAATGGAAATTAATGGAGAACACAGAAATAAATCCACACAGTTATAGTAAACTCACTTTTGGTACAGGTTCCAAGGATATATAGTGGGGAAAAGATAGCCTCTTCAATAAGTATTCTTGGGAAAACTGGGTAACCAGTTGCAGAAGAATGAAACCAGACCTCTGTCTCTTACCATATGCAAAACAATCAAATGAAATTGAATTAAATAAATAAAGACCTGAAACTACAAAATTACTAGAATACAACTTTGGGGAAATAATGTAGGACATTATTCTGGGCAAAGATCTTTTGAGTGTGACTTCAAAACACAAGTAACTAAAGAAAAAATAGACAAATTGGGATTACATCAAGATAAAAAACTTCCACACAACAAAGGAAATAATCAACAAAATTAAGAGACAACATGCAAAATGGGAGAAAATATTTGCAAACTACCAATCTGATTCATCTAGAATTAATAACCAGAATATATAGGGAGCTCAAATACTCAGTAGTAATAAAACAGTAATAACAGTAATAATCTTGCCCCCAAGTCCTGAGAGAATTGCTATAATTTAGGGCCATATTAGTAGGGAATGTGGAATACTATGAAGCAACCTGACTAATGTTACCTAGTGCTATTCTCTTCTCAAAATAATCCTACTTGAGACAGATGTGTCACTTACAGAGCACAGTAAAGCATGTTCAAAACAATAAGCAGAGTTTCATATGATATGAATAACTATCCAAGCCACCCTACAGTGAGCCATGCTGCATTTTCACTAATCCATGGACTATGGCTTATGGTCTGACTGTTTAGTAGGTCCAGGGGCAAGCCTCAGACTGGCTATAAATCAAGCCACTCCATTGGGATGAGGCATTTAGATAAAAAATGGTTTCTGCTCCAGATAAGCTTTTTGTTACCCTGTGAATACTTACCAGAAAAAGCCCCTACACTGATGAAAAGGAACAAAACCAAAAAACAGAACACTCTTGTCAGTAAAATGCAGAAACTGAATTGTTTTCCATCCCAGATCAAGCATATGTGCAACTAATTAATTCCTAGATCAGCAAGAGGAAGTCTCCTAAGGATTCAGACACCACCTAGACTGGGCCTACACACATGATTGCCATTGCCATTAGAAAATGCTGAAACAGGATGAAAAATTGTCTCACCTGTCAGACCTTGGCTAATGCTAAAAATACTGCCTAGGATCTGATACTTCCAGCAAAGAGCCCAGGACATTCTTGGACTACAGATCATGTTTGGTCTATTATTTCCCCCAGGTGTTGCTGTTTACCTGACCCCACCAGATGAAGTTCCATGGGAGATATAAAAAATTGCAGAGCTGAAACCTCTTTATTTCATCTTGCTTATACTCTGGCTTTAAATACATAAAGGTTTGATTGCAAATTTTGATTTTGTTCTTTGTCTTAACTGCCCACTTTGATATCTTGTGGCTCCACAGTTCCCCAGAAAGATGATAAGAAGAATTTTCATCAGAAAATGTAGTCCCTGTTAATGTTACTTCTCCTAAAAATAATGCTTTGGGACAATTTGAATCCACATGGCCTCAAGACAGCCTATTCTGAAACAGCTTACATGTAAGATCAGAAACTATGAAACTGCTAGAAGAAAACATTGGAGAAATGCTGCAAGACATTTGTCTGGCAAAACATTTTTTGAATAAGACCTGAAAAACATAGGGAACAAAAGCAAAAATGGAAACAAAATTGCATCAAGCTAAACAGTTTCTGCACAGAAAATCAACAAACTAGAAAGACAACTTATTGAATGAGAAAAAAATATTGCAAACTATTCATCTGACAAGGGATTAATAAGGAATATATAAGGAACTGAAACTACTCAATAGTAAAAAATAAAAGCATAAAAATCTAATTACAATATGTGTAAATAATCTGAAAAGACTTTTCTCAAAAGCAGATATACAAATGGCTACCAGGTATATGAAAGAATCAATGTCACTAAACATCAGAGAAATGCAGATCATAACCACAATGAGATATGACCTTACCCCAGTTAAAATTGCTTTTATCAAAAAGAATGGAAATAACAAGTGAGAATTTGGAGAAAGGAAAACCTTTGTACTATGGTGGGTTATGTAAATTAGTATAACCACTATGGACAACTGTACGGAGGTTCTTCATAAACCTAAAAGCAGAACTACCATATGATTTGGCAATCCAACCGCCTGGTATACACCTAACATAAATGAAATCAGTATATTGAATAGATACCTGCACTTCTATGTTTATTGCAGCACTCTTTAAAATAGCCAAAATATGGAGTCAACCTTAGGGTTCATCAATGAATGAATGGATAATGAAAATGGAGTATACAATGGAATATTACTCAGCCTCAAACAATGAAACCCTGTTATTTGCTGAAACATGTGGAAACTGGATTTCATTAAGTGAAAAAAGCCAAGGGCAGACATGTTCTCACTCTTATGAGGAAGCTAAAAAAGCAGATCTCTTGAAGATAGACAGCATAATAGTGGTTGCCAGAGGCCAGGAAAGGTAGGGGGAAAGAAGAGAAGACAGGTTGATTAATGGGTACAAACATACAGTTTCATAGACGAAATAAAACCTAGTGCTTGATGAACCAATAGGGTAACTGTAGTTAACAATAATATATTGTAAGTATCAAGATAGTTAGAAGATAATAATTTAAATGTTTCTAATTTAAGAACAGGCAAAGATTTAAGGTGCGCTATGATGGAGAATGTAAATTACAAATTATGTTGATTTGATCTTTATAATTATATAATGTTGTTATATACAATTATAATGATTTGATCTCTACAAATTATATAAATGTATCAAATTATCACATGTACCCAACAAATTGTGCATCTATTATGCATCAATAAAAATTAAATAATAAATTAATGTCTTCAGTACAAATTGCAGGCATACCTTGCTTTATTATGCTTCACTTTATTGAGCTTCACTTGTATAGGTACTTTTTACAAATCCACTTAGTTATTCTAACAATATTTCAAATTTTTTATTATTATTATAATACCTGTTATGGTGATCTTTAATTAGTGATCTTTGTTACTATTGTAATTGCTTTAAGGCACCATGAACCATGACTTTATAAGATTGTGAAGTTAATTGGTAAACTAAATTGCATGTGTTCTGTCTGCTCCACCAGCCAGCCATTTCCCTGACTCTCTTCCTCTCCTTGGCCCTTCCTATTCCCTGAGAAACAACAACATTAAAATTAGGTCAGTTTATAATGTTATGATGGCCCCTACTTGTTCAAGTGAAAGAAAGAATTGAATGTCTCTCACTTTATATCAAAAGCTAGAAATAATTAAGTTTAGTAAGGAAGGTGTATCTAAAGCCAAAATAGGCTGAAAGCTAGGCCTCTTACACCAAACATTTAGCCAAGTTGTGAATGTAGAATAAAAAGTTATTGAAGGGAATTAAAAGTGTTACTTCAGTGAACATGCAAATAATCAGAAACCGCTTATTACTAACATGTTGAAAGTTCCAGTGGTTCAAATAGAATATCAAATCATACACAGCATTACCTTAAGCCAAAGCCTATTCCAGAGCAAGGCCATAATTCTCTTCATTTCTGTGAAGGCTGAGAGAGGTTAATAAGTTGCAAAAGGAAAATTTGAATGTGGCAGAACTTGGTTCATGAGGTTTAAGGAAAGAAGCTGTCTCTATAACAAAAGTGCAAGGTGAAGTAGCAAGTTCTGATATAGAAGTTACAGTAAGTTACCCAAGAACTCTAGCTAATGGATGGAGGTTGCTGCATGGAACAATAGATATTTAATGTAGACAAAACAGCTTTCTATTGGAAGAGGAGGCCATCTGGGACATGCATTTTGAGAGAGGCAATGTCCATGTCTGGCTTCAAAGCTTCAAAGCTTCAAAGGACAAGGTGACTCTCTTGTTAGGTGCTAAATGCAGCTGGTGACATTAAATTGAAGCCAGTACTCATTTGCCACTCCAAAAAAGCCCATAGCCCTTATGAATTACACTAAATGTACTCTGTTTGTGCCCTATATATGGAAAAGCAAAGCCTGAATGACAGCACCTCTTTTCTAGTATGATTTACTGAATACTTTAGGCCCACTGTGGAGACCTACTGCTCAAAAATATATATTATTTTCAAAATATTACTGTTCATTAACAATGCAACTGGGTACCAAAGAACTCTGATAGAAATGTTCAAGGATATTAATGTTGTTTTTATGCCTGCTAACCCAACATCCATTCTGCAGCCCACGTATCAAGGAGTCATTTTGACTTTCAATTCTTATTATAATACATTCCATAACGCTACAACTACATTAGATAGTGATTCCTCTGATGGATTTGGGTGAGTCCATTGAAAACCTTGAGAAAAAACATCATCATTCTAGATGCCATTAAGAACATCTTTGATTCATGGGAGTAGGTAAAAATGTTAATATTAACAACAATTTGAAAGAAAATTGATTTTAAACCTCATGGATGAATTTGAGGGATTCAAGACTTCAGTGGAGGAAGTCACCACAGATGTGGTGGAAATAGCAAGAGAATTAAAATTAGAAGTTGAGCCTGAAGATATAAGCGATAGAATGTCATGACCAAACTTAAACAGATAAGGATGAGCACAAAATGTAGTTTCTTGATATGAACTCTTCCCCTGGTGAAGATGCTGTGAATATTGTTGAAATGAGAACAAATGGTTTAGAATATTATGTAAACTTAGTTGACAAAGCAGCAGCAAGTTTTGAGATGATTGACTCCAATTTTGAAATAAGTTCTACTGTGGGTAAAATGCTATCAGACAGCATCACATTCTACAGAGAATTATTTTTGGGAAATGAAGAGTTAGTGCAGCAAACTTCATTGTTGTCTTATTTTAAGAAATTGCCACAGCCACCCTAACCTTCAGCAACCACCACCAAGATCAGTCTACATCCAGCTACATTGAGGCAAGACCCACCACTAGCAAGATACTTATAATTTGCTGTAGGGTAAGATGATTACTAATATTTTTTAGCAATAAACAATTTTTAATTATGGCATGTACCTTGTTTTTTTCAGACATAATGCTATTGAACTCTTCATAAAGTGGAGTATAGTATAAACATAATTTTTATATAAACTGGAAATATAAAAAAATATGATTCACTTTATTGTGATATTTGCGTTATTGTTGTGGTCTTGAATCATGCCTATCATATCTCTCAGGTATGCACATTCTATAAAAAAGATTATCCCAGTGGCTCAAGCCCCATTTTTTTTTTTTTATTTTTGAGACAGGGTCTCTTTTACTAAGGCTGGAGCGCAGTGGTGTGATCGTGGCTCACTGCATCCTCAACCTCTTGGGCTCAGGCCATCCTCCTACCTCAGTCTCCCAAGTAGCTAGGACTACAGAAGTGCATCACCACTAATGGCTAATCATTTTTAGTCTTTGTAGAGATGGGATCTCGGTATGTTACTCAGGCTGGCCTCAAACTCCTGAGCTTAAGTAATCTCCTGATTTAGCCTTCCAAAATACTGGAATTACAGGTGTGAGCCACAGTACCTGGCCTTGAGCCACATTCTTTAAGCATACAACCCCATCCCAATGGTACATACAAACCCTATATTCTGAGTTGTTTTTCTCTGCAACTCATTATTTTCTCTACAGTTACCCTAAACTATTTGTTCTCTTGAACCTGAATCCACTTCATCTCTCAGATAGTAAATCCACATTAAAGCAGGATTCTCTTTCCAAATATTTGTGATCTGTCTTCTGTTTCTATGTACCCAGACAGAGAATGAAGAGTATAGGTTAAGAGTTTTATTTCTGTATGATATGGACTGTGGGTTTGTCATAAATAGCTCTTATTATTTTTAGATACATCCCATCAATACCTAACTTATTGAGAGTTTTTAGCACAAAGCGCTGTTGAATTTTGTTGAAGGCCTTTTCTGCATCTATTGAGATAATTATGTGGTTTTTGTCTTTGGTTCTGTTTATTGATTTGCATATGTTGAACAGGCCTTGCATCCCAGGGATGAAGCCCACTTGATCATGGTGAATAAGCTTTTTGATATGCTGCTGGATTTGGTTTGCCAGTATTTTATTGAGGATTTTTGCATTGATGTTCATCAGGGATATTGGTCTAAAATTCTCTTTTTTTGTTGGGTCTCTACCAGGCTTTGGTATCAGGATGAAGCTGGCCTCATAAAATGAGTTAGGGAGGATTCCCTCTTTTTCTATTGATTGCAATAGTTTCAGAAGATATGGTACCAGTTCCTCCTTGTACCTCTGGTAGAAGTCCGTTGTGAATCCATCTAGTCCTGGGCTTTTTTTGCTTGGTAAGCTATTAATTATTGCCTCAATTTGAGAGCCTGTTATTGGTCTATTAAGAGATTCAACTTCCTCCTGGTTTAGTCTTGGGAGGGTGTATGTGTCCAGGAATTTATCCATTTCGTCTAGATTTTCTAGTTTATTTGCATAGAGGTGTTTATAGTATTCTCTGATGGTAGTTTGTATTTCTGTGGGATAGGTGGTGATATCCCCTTTGTCATTTTTTACTGTGACTATTTGATTCTTCTCTCCTTTCTTATTTATTAGTCTTGCTAGTGGTCAATCAAATTTGTTGATCTTTAAAAAAACCAGCTCCTGGTTTCATTGATGTTATGTAGGTTTTTTTGTGTCTCTACATCAGAGTGAACAAGCAACCTACAGAATGGGAGAAAATTTTTGCAATCTACTCATCTGACAAAGAGCTCATATCCAGAATCTACAAAGAACTCAAACAAATTTACAACAACAAAAAAAACCCCATCAAAAAGTGGGTGAAGGATATGAACAGACACTTCTCAAAAGAAGACATTTATGTAGCCAATAGACACATGAAAAAATGCTCATCATCACTGGCCATCAGAGAAATGCAAATCAAAACCACAGTGAGATATCATCTCACACCACTTAGAATAGCGATCATTAAAAAGTCAGGAAACAGGAGGAGGCAGCCAAGATGGCCGAATAGGAACAGCTCTAGTCTACAGCTCCCAGCATGAGCGATGCAGAAAACGGGTGATTTCTGCATTTCCATCTGAGGTAACGGGTTCATCTCACTAGGGAGTGCCAGACAGTGGGCGCAGGACAGTGGGTGCAGCGCACTGTGCATGAGCCAAAGCAGGGTGAGGCATTGCCTCACTGGGGAAGCATAAGGGGTCAGGGAGTTCCCTTTCCTAGTCAAAGAAACAGGTGACAGATGGCACCTGGAAAATCAGGTCACTCCCACCCGAATACTGCGCTTTTCCGACAGCCTTAAAAACGGCACACCAGGAGATGATACACTGTACATGGCTCAGAGGATCCTACACTCATGGAATCTCGCTGACTGCTAGCACAGCAGTCTGAGATCAAACTGCAAGGCGGCAGTGAGGCTGGGGGAGTGGCACCCACCATTGCCCAGGCTTGCTTAGGTAAACAAAGCAGCGGGGAAGCTCAAACTGGGTGGAGCCCACCACAGCTCAAGGGGGCCTGCCTGCCTCTGTAGGCTCCACCTTTGGGGGCAGGGCACAGACAAACAAAAAGACAGCAGTAACCTCTGCAGACTTAAATGTCCCTGTGTGACAGCTTTGAAGAGAGCAGTGGTTCTCCCAGCACGCAGCTGGAGATCTGAGAATGGGCAGATTGCCTCCTCAAGTGGGTCCCTGACCCCTGACCCCTGAGCAGCCTAACTGGGAGGCACCCCCCAGTAGGGGCAGACTGACACCTCACATGGCTGTGTACTCCTCTGAGACAAAACTTCCAGAGGAACGATCAGACAGCAGCATTCGCGGTTCAGGAAAATCTGCTGTTCTGCAGCTGCTGCTGCTGATACCCAGGCAAACAGGGTCTGGAGTGGACCTCTAGCAAACCCCAACAGACCTGCAGCTGAGGGTCCTATCTGTTAGAAAGAAAACTAACAAACAGAAAGGACATCCACACCAAAAACCCATCTGTACATCACCATCATCAAAGACCAAAAGTAGATAAAACCACAAAGATGGGGAAAACACAGAGCAGAAAAACTGGAAACTCTAAAAAGCAGAGCACCTCTCCTCCTCCAAAGGAATGCAATTCCTCACCAGCAATGGAACAAAGCTGACAGAGAATGACTTTGACGAATTGAGAGAAGAAGGCTTCAGACGATCAAACTACTCTGAGCTACAGGAGGAAATTCAAACCAAAGGCAAAGAAGTTAAAAACTTTGAAAAAGATTTAGACGAATGTATAACTAGAATAAACAATACAGAGAAGTGCTTAAAGGAGCTGATGGAGCTGAAAGCCAAGGCTCAAGAAGAATGCAGAAGGCTCAGGAGCCGATGCGGTCAACTGGAAGAAAGGGTATCAGTGATGGAAGATGAAATGAATGAAATGAAGCGAGAAGGGAAGTTTAGAGAAAAAAGAATAAAAAGAAATGAACAAAGCCTCCAAGAAATATGGGACTATGTGAAAAGATGAAAACTACATCTGATTGGTGTACCTGAAAGTGACGGGGAGAATGGAACCAAGTTGGAAAACACTCTCCAGGATATTATCCAAGAGAACTTCCCCAATTTACCAAGGCAGGCCAATATTCGGATTCAGGAAATACAGAGAAAACCATAAAGATACTCCTTGAGAAGAGCAACTCCAAGACACATAATTGTAAGATTCACCAAAGTTGAAATGGAGGAAAAAATGTTAAGGGCAGCCACAGAGAAAGGCAGGGTTACCCACAAAGGGAAGCCCATCAGACTAACAGCGGATCTCTCGGCAGAAACTCTACAAGCCAGAAGAGAGTGGGGGCCAATATTCAACATTCTTAAAGAAAAGAATTTTCAATCCAGAATTTCATATCCAGCCAAACGAAGCTTCATAAGTGAAGGAGAAATCAAATACTTTACAGACAAGCAAATGCTGAGAGATTTTGTCACCACCAGGCCTGCCCTAAAAGAGCTCCTGAAGGAAGCACTAAACATGGAAAGGAACAACTGGTACCAGCTGCTGCAAAATCATGCCAAATTGTAAAGACCATCGAGACTAGGAAGAAACTGCATCAACTAATGAGCAAAATAACCAGCTAACATCATAATGACAGGATCAAATTCACACCTAACAATATTAACTTAAAATGTAAATGGACTAAATGCTCCAATTAAAAGACACAGACTGGCAAATTGGATAAAGAGTCAAGACCCATCAATGTGCTGTATTCAGGAAACCCATCTCACATGCAGAGACACACATAGGCTCAAAATAAAAGGATGGAGGAAGATCTACCAAGCAAATGGAAAACAAAAAAGGCAGGAGTTGCAATCCTAGTCTCTGATAAAACAGACTTTAAACCAACAAAGATCAAAAGAGACAAGGCCATTACTTAATGGTAAAGGGATCAATTCAACAAGAAGAGCTAACTATCCTAAATATATATGCACCCAATACAGGAGCATGCAGATTCATAAAGCAAGTCCTGAGTGACCTACAAAGAGATTTAGACTCCCACACAATAATAATGGGAGACTTTAACACCCCACTGTCAACATTAGATAGATCAACGAGACAGAAAGTTCACAAGGATACCCAGGAATTGAACTCAGCTCTGCACCCAGCAGACCTAATAGACATCTACAGAACTCTCCACCCCAAATCAACAGAATATACATTTTTTTCAGCACCACACCACACCTATTCCAAAATTGACCACATAGTTGGAAGTAAAGCACTCCTCAGCAAATGTAAAAGAACAGAAATTATAACAAACTGTCTCTCAGACCACAGTGCAATCACACTAGAACTCAGGATTAAGAAAATCACTCAAAACCACTCAACTACATGGAAACTGAACAAACTGCTCCTGAATGACTACTGGGTACATAAGGAAATGAAGGCAGAAATAAAGACGTTCTTTGAAAGCAATGAGAAAAAAGACACAACATACCAGAATCTCTGAGACACATTCAAAGCAGTGTGTAGAGGGAAATGTATAGCACTAAATGCCCACAGGAGAAAGCAGGAAGGATCCAAAATTGACACCCTGACATCACAATTAAAAGAACTAGAAAAGCAAGAGCAAACACATGCAAAAGCTAGCAGAAGGCAAGAAATAACTAAAATCAGAACAGAACTGAAGGAAATAGAGACACAAAAAACCCTTCAAAAAATTAACAAATCCAGGAGCTGGTTTTTTGAAAGGATCAACAAAATTGATAGACCACTAGCAAGACTAATAAAGAAGAAAAGAGAGAAGAATCAAATAGATGCAATAAAAAATGATAAAGGGGATATCACCACTGATCCCACAGAAATACAATCTACCATCAGAGAATACTACAAACACCTCTACGCAAATAAACTAGAAAATCTAGAATATATGGATAAATTCCTCGACACATACACCCTCACAGGACCAAACCAGGAAGAAGTTGAATCTCTGAATAGACCAATAACAGGAGCTGAAATTGTGGCAATAATCAATAGCTTACCAAACAAAAGAGTCCAGGACCAGATGGATTCACAGCCGAATTCTACCAGAGGTAGAAGGAGGAACTGGTACCATATCTTCTGAAATTATTGCAATCAATAGAAAAAGAGGGAATCCTCCCTAACTCATTTTATGAGGCCAGCATCATCCTGACACCAAAGCCTGGCAGAGACACAACCAAAAAAGAGAATTTTAGACCAATATCCTTGATGAACATTGATGCAAGAATCCTCAATAAAATACTGGCAAACTGAATCCAGCAGCACATCAAAAAGCTCATCCACCATGATCAAGTGGACTTCATCCCTGGGATGCAAGGCTGGTTCAATATATGCAAATCAATAAATGTAATCCAGCATATAAACAGAAGCAAAGACAAAAACCACATGATTATCTCAATAGATGCAGAAAAGGCCTTTGACAAAATTCAACAACCCTTCATGCTAAAAACTCTCAATAAATTAGGTATTGATGGGACGTATCTCAAAATAATAAGAGCTGTCTATGACAAACCCACAGCCAATATCATACTGAATGGGCAAAAACTGGAAGCATTCCCTTTGAAAACTGGCACAAGACAGGGATGCCCTCTCTTACCACTCCTATTCAACATAGTGTTGGAACTTCTGGCCAGGGCAATTAGGCAGGAGAAGGAAATAAAGGGTATTCAGTTAGGAAAAGAGGAAGTCAAATTGTCCCTATTTGCAGATGACATGATTGCATATCTAGAAAACCCCATTGTCTCAGCCCAAAATCTCCTTAAGCTGATAAGCAACTTTAGCAAAGTCTCAGGATACAAAATCAATGTACAAAAATCACAAGCATTCTTATACACCAATAACAGACAAACAGAGAACCAAATCATGAGTGAACTCCCATTCACAATTGCTTCAAAGAGAATAAAATACCTAGGAATCCAACTTACAAGGGACGTGAAGGACCTCTTCAAGAAGAACTACAGACCACTGCTCAATGAAATAAAAGAGGATACCAAGAAATGGAAGAACATTCCATGTCATGAGTAGGAAGAATCAGTATCGTGAAAATGGCCATACTGCCCAAGGTAATTTATAGATTCAATGCCATCCCCATCAAGCTACCAATGACTTTCTTCACAGAATTGGAAAAAACTACTTTAAAGTTCATATGGAACCAAAAAAGAGCCCGCATCACCAAGTCAATCCTAAGCCAAAAGAACAAAGCTGGAGGCATCACGCTACCTGACTTCAAACTATACTACAAGGCTACAGTAACCAAAACACCATGGTACTGGTACCAAAACAGAGATAAAGATCAATGGAACAGAATAGAGCCCTCAGAAATAATGCCACATATCTACAACTATCTGATCTTTGACAAACCTGAGAAAAACAAGCAATGGGGAAAGGATTCCCTATTTAATAAATGGTGCTGGGAAAACTGGCTAGCCTTATGAAGAAAGCTGAAACTGGATCCCTTCCTTACACCTTATACAAAAATTAATTAAAGATGGATTAAAGACTTAAACGTTAGACCTAAAACCATAAAAACCCTAGAAGAAAACCTAGGCATTACCATTCAGGACATAGGCGTAGGCAAGGACTTCATGTCTAAAACACCAAAAGCAATGGCAACAAAAGACAAAATTGACAAATGGGATCTAATTAAACTAAAGAGCTTATGCACAGCAAAAGAAACTACCATCAGAGTGAACAGGCAACCTACAGAATGGGAGAATATTTTTGCAATCTACTCATCTGACAAAGGGCTAATATCCAGAATCTACAATGAACTCAAACAAATTTATAAGAAAAAAACAAACAACCCCATCAAAAAGTGGGCAAAGGGCATGAACAGACACTTCTCAAAAGAAGACATTTATGCAGCCAAAAAACACATGAAAAAACGCTCACCATCACTGGCCATCAGAGAAATGCAAATCAAAACCACAATGAGATACCATCTCACACCAGTTAGAATGGCAATCATTAAAAAGTTAGGAAACAACAGGTGCTGGAGAGGATGTTGAGAAATAGGAACACTTTTACACTTTTGGTGGGACTGTAAACTAGTTCAACCATTGTGGAAGTCAGTGTGGCGATTCCTCAGGGATTTAGAACTAGAAATGCCATTTTACCCAGCCATCCCATTACTGGGTATATACCCAAAGGACTATAAATCATGCTGCTCTAAAGACACATGCACACGTATGGTTATTGCAACACTATTCACAATAGCAAAGACTTGGAACCAACCGAGATGTCCAACAATGATAGACTGGATTAAGAAAATGTGGCACATATACACCATGGAATACTATGCAGCCATAAAAAATGATGAGCTCATGTCCTTTGTAGGGACATGGATGAAATTGGAAATCATCAGTCTCAGTAAACTATCACAAGGACAAAAAACCAAACACCGCATGTTCTCACTCATAGGTGGGAATTGAACAATGAGAACACATGGACACAGGAAGGGCAACATCACACTCTGGGGACTGTTGTTGAGTGGGGGGTAGGGGCACGGATAGCATTAGGAGATATCCGTAATGCTAAATGATGAGTTAATGGGTGCAGCACACCAGCATGGCACACGTATACATACATAAGTAACCTGCACATTGTGTACCTGTACTCTAAAAGTATAATAAAATAAAATAAAATAAAAAAATAAAAAAATAAAAAGAAAGGAAACAACAGGTGCTGGAGAGGATGTGGAGAAATAGGAACACTTTTACACTGTTGGTGGGACTGTAAGCTAGTTTAACCATTGTGGAAGTCAGTGTGGCAATTCCTCAGGGATCTAGAACTAGAAATACCATATGACCCAGCCATCCCATTACTAGGTATGTACGCAAAGGAATATAAATCATGCTACTATAAATACACATGCACACCTATGTTTATTGGAGCACTACTCACAATAGCAAAGACTTGGAACCAACCCAAATGTCCAACAATGATTGACTGGATTAAGAAAATGTGACACGTATACACCATGGAATACTATGCAGCCATAAAAAATGATGAGTTCATGTCCTTCCTAGGGACATGGATAAAGCTGGAAACCATCATTCTTAGCAAACTATCGCAAAGACGAAAAACCAAACACCACATGCTCTCACTCATGTGGGAACTGAACAATGAGAACACTTGGATACAGGAAGGGGAACATCACACCCTGGGGCCTGTTGTGGGGTGGGGGGAGGGGGGAGGGATAGCATTAGGAGATATACGTAATGTAAATGACGAGTTAATGGGTGCAGCACACCAACATGGCACATGTATACATATGTAACAAACCTGCACGTTGGGCACATGTGCCCTAGAACTTAAGGTATGATAAAAAAATAATATATATATATATATATATATATATAAAGAGTTTTATTTCTGGTATCAGAAAGGCATGAGTTTAAATCTTAACAAATTGCAAACAAAAATCATGATGAAGATGATCATGTTCATGATAATGATCATGATGTCAAAAAAAGTAGTAGAAAATCCCACTAAGCGGAAAGGAAAATGTTGAAAGGCAACAACACATGAGATAGCAAGAAGTGATTGAAGTCAACATATTTTAAAATTCTTACGATGTTGTGAAGAAAGGTAGAAATACAGACAAATTTTAGATATTAAATATTACCATTAAAATTTAAGAGTAACACTAATATAAAAATATAATCTATAACTTTCAAAGCATTAACGACATAATAAAAATAACATCTATATGGCTGGGGGTGGTGTCTCATGCCTGTAACCCCAGCATTTTGGGCAGCTGAGGAGAGCAGATCACCTGAGGTCAAGAATTTGAGACCAGCCTGTCCAACATGGTGAAACCTCGTTTCTACTAAAAATACAAAAATTAGCCGGGTGTGGTGGCGGTCACCTATAATTCCAGCTACTCAGGAAGCTGAGGCAGGAGAATGGCTGGAACCCGGGAGGCGGCAGAGGTTGCAGTGAGCCAAGACCATGCCATTGCACTCCAGCTTGGGCAACAGAGCAAGATTCTATCTCAAAAAAAAAAAAAAATCAGCAGACTGTACATTTAATATTGGTGCACTTTATGTATGTTATGCCTCATTTTTTGTTTCAAATGAACTAGAAAATGGGAACAGAAATGGTACCAAATAACCGAAGAATCTTGGATTAACTTTTGTGTTTCATCGTTATAACTGTACTTATTTTCACCAATATTTTACTTTATGGATATATGTTCATTCCATACCATCCAGAAGTCAGTCTGGTCAGCCATGCATCTCTTATGTGCACTTGACTTTGCTTTTGGGCTTCCTCTCTTGATAATGGACACTTTTTTTTACAGTACTGGGTAAACTCTTCTTTCCAGATTATAATTTTGGATGGTATCTATTTTTCAATTATTATCTAAAATATTGTTTCCCTTTTCATGTTTTCAATTAATATTATGGAGATGTTCAGGGCTGAAATAATTTTACACATCATCTTAAATGAGATCTAATCCTCTTACATTAGAGTCTGTAAAATAAAATGTTGGCTTATATTTTTCCATGAGCTTTAGACATTAGATTCCAGGAGAACTGAAAACTGGAAGACAAAATATCTCAATTGCTTGCAATGCATGAGAATGTTAGCAGAATATTCATTTTTTCAAAATGCCATTTAGTTTGTCTAAGAATACAATGTGTGTCCTTTGTTTCTGAGCCTATATTCTGTTAGGAGTAAATTAAGCTTTCTAGACTATTCACTTTTAATGATAAAGGAAACAAAATAAATAAAATTATCTTCTGCAGTCCATTAAGTGTTCTCATCCAGAAGTTTGAACATTACTGTATTATCCTTCTGAAGAAAAAAAAAATTGTCCTAGCAAAAGTTTGCAAAGTATCCTAAATAAAGAAAGAGGACTTTGGAAAATCATAACAGAACAAAGAATAAAGACTGCAACTTCGGAACCCTAAAGACATACTGCATAAACAAAGTCCAATTGTCTGCTAACTGTTCTGTTAAACTGAAGTTTAATCTAATTCTTTCCAATTATCTGATCAAAAGGTGCTTAACTTTTTAACCTCATTTTGCTTAATAACAAAGTGAGTAATTATAGGACTATGGTGAGGGTCCAATACAAGAACTGGAAAGCACTCAGTGCACTAATTCTTGCAAAAAAATGGCTTAATAAAGAGTAAATAAGCACAACATCACACACAGTATCAATAACAAGAAACAGGACAGAGGATATAGAGAAAGGCAAGATACTTATGATTTTGTCTCCCCTGAATTGTTTTCTGAATTACTATTTTATTCAGAACTCAATTATGAATCTCAATCTTTTGTAAAGTTCTCATTAAGTGCACTAGACAGAGACAATCTTTGCTCTGTAAGAACTCATCTCTTCTGTATACTTCCTATGAATTTTGCAGTATATTGATTTTTAAGCATTTTCCATATTGTCCTACAATTATTTGTACATGTCTTTGTTTTTACCAATAGATACTAAATTCCAGGAGAATTGAAAACTTTTAAAAATTATGTTTGATCTCTAACACTTTAGCACATAATGTAATACATATAATGGCCAGAAGGGTAGTTTTTTTATTTAATCTTCTTATAACTTTATTTGAATTAAAGAGAAAATGTTCTTAAGCAAGATAATTACCAAGAAAATGCCATTGGATCAGATTAGTATATGACTTTGGACCTGGAATATATTAAGAGTCAAATTGGAGTTCCACTCAATTCTACCTGATGTAAAACATCAACAACAACAACAACAACAACAACAAACTTAGAACAATTATGGAATCACTGGTTAAAAAAATAAGGATAATCTTAAGTTCGCTTAAGAGATGTGATGTATTTCTTATATACTGTGGCCCATTTGTGCACCGCATACCCCACGTCAACTGAGCCACCTGTGTAAGTGTTGGCACTGTACAACCATGCCTTGACCAAGTCCTAAATAATCTTTACCAAGGACACATATTTTTAAAGCCTGGGGCTGCCTTCATTTCAGACACTTTCGTTATCTCTACATCTCAAAATCTTTTTCTTTTATGAACTGTGATCTGCCACATGAATTAAAATTAAAAGTAACATTTGTAAAGCGATTTGCAGTTTGTAGATTTAATGCATACAATTTTGCATAATTATTTTACTAGATTTTCACTTTGATTGAAATTTGTATTATTTATTACCATTGTTCCTATCTAGTAAGAAAGAAAATGAAACAGACATAATTAAAAATACAAAACAAACAAAAAACAACAACAAAACATCAACAATAACAAAACTTGCCCAACGTCACAAAAGTAGTAGTCTTAATCTAAGAGCATACAGTCTTTTAGGGCCAAATTTTATTCTTCTTTTTAAATATCAGTTATTTTCACCTATATTTCCATGGCAACTTTTACATATGGCATAGCAATTAGGATGTTATGTTTTGTCTTATTGTTGAATCATTCTTATGTTGAATGCACATGCATATCTCTAATTTATAAAGAGCATGAGGAAGGGCATATGTTGTTTCTATAACAGTTGGCTGAATTAAAACAGTTGACTTCATTTTATGAGATCATTTTCATGTTCATCATAATTTAGTTTAGGACTCATATGGTAAACCTTTTGAGGTTGTAAGAACAAAGATCATTTACAAGACACAGACTGCAAGGCAATAAAGCTTGGACAAGAAAAAGTTTAAAAATAATTAGATATGAAATCTAGGAACTTATGGCCAAAGGAATAAAAATACTGGGATTGAAATTTAGAAAAGAGAGACCATAGTGTGCTGAAATACTTGAACCCATGAAGATTAAGTTGGATTAAAAGGTGATTATAAAACAATAGAGAAGACATTTTGCTTTGATTCAGGAAAGATGAAAAAAATTGTGTGTATTTTTGGACAGAAAAAAACTGTTTTCTCTGATGATTAATGATCAAAGAAGACACATTATGGGTATTCTCTGATGTTAATTATAGAGAAACATAATTGTGGAGATGCCTCAACATCTTCCAGAGAAGTGCGACAATATGATAGAATTGATCAGCACACTTTATATTACTAGGATATCAAGAATTATCATTATTTTTTGTCCACTTATTTTAACTCTTCTATTTTTTCAAAATTTGTTTTCACTATTAGATTCATCTCCATTTGAATCTAAACATATTTAACTTCTTCCCATTATGAAAAATCAAAGCAAAACAAAGCATAAAGCTTTAACGTCTTTGCTTGGATGTCACTCAGTGGGCCACGATTTGGAACATACTTCTCTACTTCATATTCCTAAACTTCTTTTCTCCAGTGTTAATTTATTTTAGGTAAACTTTTCCAAAAAACAACCAATTGTCTTAACTAGAAATTTGAACATCATCTGTGTATAATCCCTCTCCCCACAAAACTTTTGAACCCACCAATAACCAAGTGCTCTTTCTTTCATCTGCCAAGTACTTATCAAATCTCTCAGCTTCTATTCCTATTGACTGATTGTATATTTGTACTAGCTTAATAATTTCCTACTTGAAGTACTGATATAATTTAATTGATATAGTTCAGATTTTCTCTCTGCAATCAATTTCCCGCATTGCTAGTAGAGTAATATTTTTAAGTGCCTATCTTATTTTTATTTTACCCTACTCTTGTCTCCACGATTTACCCATTTAATTTTCCTTCACCTGGAATACAAATCTATACTTACTTTTCCCATTTGTTAAGCTAACTTGTATTTGTAGGTTTCATTTTAAATACAATTTCTTCAGAAAACAAACTCTAGGTTCTTGGCCCCGTTAACAATACTCATCAATTCTTTAATCTCTGTTGTTTTGTCAAGACTGTCTAGATAATGCGACAATAATCAGTATCATAAAATCTCAGTGTCTGTAAAAGCATATTTCTCACCCATATCACATATTCATTGTGGCTTGAGGGGCCTATGGGAGAGCTCTCATTCAGATGACCACTCATAGACCCAAGGTGATACAGACTATCCCTTTTAAGATGTAAAATCTGTAAAAAAAAAAAAAAAAAAAAGCCCCCTAGATCAACTTGACACAAAAAGGAAGAGCCTGTAGAAACTTTAAAGCTTATCACTGCCTAAGAAGGCATGTACAACACTTCTTATTTTTTATTTCCTTCCCCAGAGCCAGTCACATAATGGGCCCAACTCCAAAGTACCTAGTCAGTGTAGTCTTCCAAGTGCCAGGATAGGAGAAGAGCTAAATATTATTGAGTACTTGTAATCTATATGTTCCCTGTATTATATTGTAAGCTACACAAAGGAAGGAACTTGGTCTATTTTATTCACTGCTATACCTGGTACAG
Organism: Homo sapiens; assembly: GCF_000001405.40. NCBI lineage: Eukaryota > Metazoa > Chordata > Mammalia > Primates > Hominidae > Homo > Homo sapiens. The sequence continues at coordinate 105,030 of NW_003315936.1, read as the reverse complement.
TGCCTTGTATCATAAGAGGTTAAACCATAAACACATATTAAATGAATAAAATAATGTCATATTTCAGTTGACAGCATTGCTCATTGGTTCCAAATACCAAATCTATCACTTACTGAGGGATTTTAACCAAATGAACATGTCACCTATGAAACAGAGGTCATATGGTACCTACCCATCAGAATCTTTACAATGATATTGTGCTTAAAAATATCTTAATTTTTATAGGATTATGTGCGTTTGCCATTGTTAATATATTATTGTTAACTGAAACTCAAATTACTAGTCTACATATAAATATTTAAAATATAAACTTATCAAGTAATCATTACACATATTATCATTGCTAGTTGCCATTTTGAAACAATAATTTACATGGAATATTAGAACTAGTGCAAGCTTAACATTCTTATGTACAGATTAGGAGACTACAGCCAAAATAAGTGAACTAGTATCCCAAAGTTTACACTACAAGTTAATGGCAATGCCCAAACATATACCTAAATCCCTTCTCTAATTTTTGTTTAATATAATCTATATGGAAACTCACAAATGTAAACAATTTTAATGCAGATAAATTATTTAAGCAGGCAAGGAAATGCACCAAGAAAAATAATAAAATGTTGATAGAAAATTATAACAATTTAGTCAATAATTCTATGACATAAAAATTGAAATTTATGATCACTTAGAACTCAAATATTCATCCTACTTGGACTTTCACTCAAGAGCATTAAGACTCATGCAATCATCTTGCAAATAAATTTGTGTCTACAATGTTTTAAATAACCTTTCAAAATTCCAGCTCTCCTAAAAAATTGTTTCATCATGTCCTTTGTTTTCTTTATGAAATAGTTTTATTATAGTTGAAACAGGAAAATAGACATCCAGGGTCCCATGACAAACATTCCCTTGCTTTATACAAAACTTAAAATGAAAATGTCATCATCAACTATTGATCTTCATTAATGGTTTTGTATCTTGTACAGAATAAAATGACACTCAATAACTTTCAAGTTTTAGAATAGACAAAGCATACTAATGAAGAGACAGACAGATCAGTGAAAATTGCTTTGATTATTTCATTGGAATGATGATTTATATACTCTATATAATATTCTAATCAATGCTTTTCAAGAGAAGTGGCACCCAATTTGTTTTATTAGGAGCAATTGTATAAAAAGGAAGAATAGACGGCATTTTCATCATCATTTTTATTCTACTTTTATGTTACACCACATGGTCAACCCAGAAATAAGTATGTCTTAAGTATAATCTAGATGCTCAAATTTGTACTTTAGAAATTTATAAAATATTAGATCTGTAACATAAGACTATATTTTAACAGAAAAAAATAACTGACTGAACCTATTTTACAGTTATGTCACCAGATTTAATTTGTTAATTTCTTCTCAGTCAAAAATCACTTATGATAAATTTTTATGGTAATATCTAAGATTATCACATAAAATCGGTTTTAAAAAGTAAATAAAATTGAAGAACTGCAGTTTCGCTGAAGATATCTTTAGTTCATTATTTTTTAACATGCAAAGAAATTAAGATTGAAGGCAGATGTTACAAATAAAAATCAACTTTTTTTTTTTGAGACAGAGTCTTCGTTGCCCAGCCTGGAGTGCAGTGGCATGATCTCAGCTCATGCAACTTCCACCTTCTGAGTTCAAGCAATTCTCCTGCCTCAGCCTCCCAAGTAGCTGGGATTACAGGTGCATGCCACCAGAACCAGCTATTTTTTGTATTTTTAGTAGAGATGGGATTTTACCATGTTGGCCAGGCTGGTCTCAAATTCCTGACCTCAAATGATCTGCCCGCCTCAGCCTCCCAAAGTGCTGGGATTACAGGCATGAACCACTGTGCCCTGCCTGAAAATCAACTTTTAATCTTGGTCTTTTATCAAGGCTCCCTGGGTACATGGTTTGGTAAATTTGATCCAACTGTCATATTACCTTACAATGTAAATTTACAGAAGCCCAGTGAGATAATTTTATAATTTTTATTAATGTGCTTAACATTTTTTAAAAAATGAAATAAGTGGCAAAATATGCTAATTAAATAAAATCCCCAAGGTAATATTTGCATACTGGTATTATAGGAAGACAGAAAAGTCCACTAAACATCCCTGAATAAAAAAAAAAAATCTGTAAAACAATTTTGGGGAGGAGATTTTCATGAAGAGGAAGTAGTATGTGCCAGAGATGAGAGAAGGACTAAATTTTATATGCATTAGGAGACAAAAGATGGCCCGTGGGACCAGACTCAGAAACAAGTAGAAGTGTCAGGAGGTGAGAATTGACAGGCAAGTGTCACATCATTTACGGTCTTGTAGACTAAAGTAAGAAATAGGATTATATTTTAAGTGCAATTGGAAGCCATTGTAAGGTTTTTAAAATGCCCATGATGGCCGGGTGCAGTGGCTCACGCCTGTAATCCCAACACTTTGGGGGGCCGAGGCGGCCGGATCACGAGGTCAGCAGATCGAGACCATCCCGGCGAACACGGTGAAACCCCATCTCTACTAAAAAATAGAAAAAATTACCCGGACATGGTGGTGGGCACCTGTAGTCCCAGCTACTCGGGTGGCTGAGGCAGGAGAATGGCGTGAACCCAGGCGGCGGAGCTTGCAGTAAGCCGAGATTGCGCCACTGCACTCCAGTCTGGGCAACAGAGTGAGACTCCGTCTTAAAAAAAAAAAAAATGCCCATGACATGAACAATGTAGATCATTAGACTGCTCTGTGGAAGAAGATTAATTCTAAAAACTTGAATTGTGTTTTTATAAATATTATATATGTAAATTTAACAATTGTGTATTTCTATAAACAAACATGATCACACAACAGAAATTTTTGAGATAAAGTGTTAACTAGATCTTACTCCATTCTACTTAAATTACATGTGTTAGTTTTATTATGGGCCTACCAGAATACCTTTACAGAAGGGGGTCACATATCCTCTACACAACCTGTAGATAACAGAAAGTTGAATGCATTGTTTACATGGAGAACACCACCTTGGTCTAGCTCCGATCGTGTCTCAGAGGTAGAAAGGTGAGATTTGAATTTATTGAGAATTTGAAGTTTAGTTGAAGGCAGGCCTTTCAATATAAGGGTTTGTGGTGTGAGCTGTGGGGGTGGGCTGTGGGGCGGGGCCATATTTGGATGCATAAGAATAAAGACATAACAATGCCACAACCTTCTAGGCAAAGATCAGAAAAAACAAACTTGTAATTGCACAAGTTGAGTTAATTATGTGAGAGGCAGCACACACGACATGAGGAACCATGGGGTTTCTCAATAAGAGGATGTTAGAAATGATTTATTACAGGGTTTGGGCTGGTATTAGGTTATTTGTGGAAGGATTTCAGGAAGAGGAGCTTTGTTCTGGATTGGAGGATTTCAGGTAGTGAGGGTAATTATGCAACTGAGTATTTCAATAATCTTATATAGGAAGAGAGCATAGACTGAAATTAAAATTGTAATCGATAAAGAAATGGCAGCTATTCAGTTTAGCTGAGAGAGGGAAATATATCATATCTTGTGGTTTGAATAATGTTCATGTTTTTGTTTCTTTTCAGACATGTTCCAAGTTGGTCTTGTTTTGTCTTAATCTATCGTGGTGACAGAATGGTCTTGTCTGAAAATGATGTTCTGCACAGATGTTTATGTTCCGTAGGAAAACAGCAAATTCTATCTGATATTACCAGGAGAGATTCTAGATATCAGAGGCTGTTTTTCAATTGGTTAAGACTGATGGAAATATCGAAGTATAGGTTTTAAGGTTTTGGATTCAGAAAAGTCTTACGGCATACACAGTCTGTTAAGGCTCTCTATTGAAGAATTGGTGACTCTTTTGAGAAATCAGCATAATTAGCAATCAAGACACCTGGATGAGAATCTCCAAGAATTGAAAAGTTAGGACAATAAGACAGAAGAATACAAAAATCATCTCAATTAATACACTAAGCTGTAGGAGAAAGGAGTACCTAGTTTTATTTTTAGTGTTCATGATAGATACTTTTGGTTTCTAATGAACAAGCAATACATACAAAATATAGAAGTAAATGCCACTAAATGCAAAGCAAAGGGAAAGTTTGAGTGGAAACTTAGCCACTTATCGTTTTGAGGTTTGGAGAGGTAAGAATGCCGTTTTTTCTGCAAGTTAGAGAGAAGTTTAAAATGACCATGGTCAAATGGAATGCCTCCCCTAAGAAAAAACAAACATACACTAAAGAGGTATATATGAGACATATGTCAAGAGTCAGAAGAGTTGTTCAAAGCCAGTTGGAGGCTGTATTATCCATCCCAGAGAATAGCATAATGCAAAATCCCCAGAGGGCATGTGTAGAATTGATAAGTAAGAGGAGTTTCCAAATAATCTAATTAAAGTGTTTTTTTGTAAATATGAGAGGAAGGGGAGAGAGAGAAAGAGGAAGAGAGGGAGAGAGAGAGCGAGAGAGAGAGAGAGAGCGAGAGAGAGAGAGAGAGGGAGAGAGAGAGTGAGAGACTAAATGTATGTGAATATTGGCCACACAGAACTTACCAGCATTAGGTCGTAACACTAAAGAAGTTAGACAGTGCCTTCTTGTCTTATTTTGCTGATACTCTGCCCACTCCCTACTAACTCTGAAAGAGACAGAAAAACATAAAGTCCAGAAAAGAGAAAGTGAAAGAAGCAAGGTGATGGCCTGATGAAGTAACAGTTTATCCCCCATACCCTGCTGCCATCTTTGCAATAGTTCTAAATTGGGAGGTCAATCTTCAGCTAGGCAAAAAGGAACAACTTTAAATTGAATGAAACATTAAAGTTTTAATGATAGATATTTTCTAATATTTAACATCCATGATGAATTGTTAAAATACATGGAAATGATTAGACAAAATAAGGAACTTTCCTGAGGATAAGAGAACAGAGATCTCACAGAGATATGAAGAGTGGTTAGCACAGTAATGAGCAGAATAAATAGGCATTTACTATTCTCTTGTCTATAATCTACTACTTCGAAAAAGACAATGGGACAAGTTAGTGTGTATGTATTTGTTCAAAACCACACCTTAGGCGGACTGGTCAATTATTGTTAACAAGAATATGCATTGAAAGTTGGATTTTTTGTGGGGAAGTAGAGGAAGATTAGCGAGGTAGACAGGAATTAGTATAAATCAAAACTCAACACTCCAGAGGCAACTATAACAAGGTATAAGCCCCGTTTATTTGAAGTCTGCATCATATGGTTTATTAATTAGAAATGGCTGATAGAAATGATTTTTTTCCACTGGTAAAAATAGTGGAATTTGAAAAATATATATTTACTAAAAGTATAGAAAGGCATTCCTGCCTTATATGTACAGGATATAAAAATCTAGGAAAGTCAGATTTTATACTCCTAAGAAAGATTTTCTAAGCTTAGGTTCTTTAAGTCATCTTTCCACTTGCTAATTCAGATGCTACTTGGATGCCTGACTGCAGGTAGCTGACTAATTGATGTTGGAAGCAAGCCCCCCAAAATCTGGCCATAAACTGGCCCCAAAACTGGCCATAAACAAAATATCTGCAGCACTGTAACATGTTCATAATGGCCCTAACGCCCACGCTGGAAGGTTGTGGGTTTACGGGAATGAGGGAAAGGAACAACTGGCCTGCTGAGGGTAAAAAACTGCTTAAAGGCATTCTTAAGCCACAGACAATAGCATGAGTGATCTATGTCTTAAGAGTGCATTCCTGCTGCAGTTAACCACCCCAACCTATTCCTTTAACTTGGCCCATCCCTTCGTTTCCTATAAGGGATACTTTTAGTTAATTTAATATCTATAGAAACAATGCTAATGACTGGTTTTCTGTTAATAAATATGTGGGCAAATCTCTGTTCGGGGCTCTCAGCTCTGAAGGCTGTGAGACCCCTGATTTCCCACTTCACATTTCTATATTTCTGGGTGTGTGTCTTTAATTCCTCTAGTGCCACTGGGTTAGGGTCTCCCTAACTGAGCTGGTTTTGGCAAATTGAATCCTGCCTCTAGACTATTATTGCATTTGTTTCTGGTAAATGTTTTACACAAGGTGCTGATGGAATGCATAAAAGGGCAGAGAGGTGGAGCTTCACCAAGTTTACAGAAGAGGAAACATTGTTTTATGCTTCCATTTTTAAACATTTATTCCTGTTTGTTTTGTTTTAATAAATGACTGAATTTGTAGCAGAATTTGGCCATAGATTTGGTTTCAAAATAAACTGGTAGAAGGTTGTGGGGAAAAGACTTATAGTATTTACTTACTTCCAACTGTAGAAAGCTAACAATATTTATTAAAGAATCCAATATCTGCACAAGACCAGTTTAAGTTTGTTTGTTTTTACAAAAGAAAAAACTCTCATTTATTCTACTGGGATGAATTGGTCTTGTTATGAGGCTAGAGAAAAGATCTTTTCAACTTTTGAAACTCAAGAACATTGAACCTGTGTTGTTCCCCCTAGTTAAATTTCCTTGATGGCTGGCTTCTCTTTCCAGATTTAAATAAGAGCCAAACTGCTCACTAATACTTAAAGCCCATCACAATTTGGCTCAACTTGTCCCACAAAAAGCACAGTTTAAATACGCATTTTTTTCCTTTTACTTTGATTCAATAATTTCCTGTTGAATATATACCATCTGCCAGATTCAGAACTAGTTTTATCAGCAATTGTCCCACCCTTGAAGACCCTGAAAGGCTGATGGCCAGAATTAGCTTCATGGCTATAGGAATAAAGTGCTTTAGGCATTTGGGTGAATGGTTGACTAACTCTGGAGGATTCTGGGACAATTTTTTCCCCAACTTTATCATGCTTCTTTATACATCTCTGAATTCACTCACGCTGTTGCTTTTCTGTCGAATATCCTCCCTCCTGTCTGCTCTAACTTTCTGGCAAAAGTCTTCTCATTTTTAAGGATTTTGTTCAGATGTCTCATCTATAAAATCTTCCTGATACCATTTTTCTCTTCTTCTGGCAGAACTTGCTATTCCATCCAGTGTAGTATCATCACTTTATTCACAAATCTATTATGCACAGAGTAAATTACGTAGAAAATCCATGTGTGCATGGTTGTCCCTGCAAATAGATGGTGAATCCTTTGATATCTAGAAGAATGCCTGGCATGTAAAAGATGGTTTAAGGTTAGTAAAATCCTTGATACATATTTTTAAGAAATTTCAGTTTCTGGCCAACTGCAGTGGCTCACACCTGTAATCCCAGCACTTTGGGAGGCTGGGGTGGGAGGATCATTTAGCTCAGGAGTTCTAGACCAACCATGGCAACCCATATCAAATTTTTTTTTAATAAAAAGAAATTTCAGTTTCTGAGTGTTCCCTTCAAGACCCAATCAGTGTTATGGCTCTAGTAAATGCTTGTGTAAGCCCATCTCTAGGTGATAATATCGTGTCATTCTATTTTGTGTTCACAGGCTACCTGTCAAACACAATCACTCCACAAATGAATACTAAACACACAAGGAGACACTAGAAGATCAAGTAGAAACAATCTATCTAAATTATTTATCACAATTTTATAGTGTTCTATTTATCACATCTCTATATAGTGTTCTATTTATCACATCTCTATATAGTGTTCTATTTATCACAACTCTATATAGTGTTCTATTATCACAACTCTAAGTGTTCTATTGATGACTTTTATTTTTATAATAATATTGAATGAAGCCCTAGCCAGCACTGAAAGTCAGTAAATAACAAGACACAACAATATCTATTGTACTCATTTAATGCATGAGAAAGCTAAGACCCAGAGAAAATAAGTGATTTTATAATCCTAATTATAAATGTTTGGATTTGAAGTAGAGGGTAACTTTTAGTCTTAAAGTACTTTCTTATTTCTACTGTAGCATCCTATTTCTTATTCTATTGTAGCATTCTATTTCTATAGTCATGGTCTGAATATCTAACTTATTACTCTCATATCCTAATGAGAAGAAAGCATGTTACCACAGTAAACTTTGGAATTCACAAACTTAACTCTCGTGATTTCTAATATATTACACATTTCAGTCTTTTAAATTAATTTCTCAAATTTTTTATCTTTAATTTGTGACTTACAGGGGCCTATAGTAGATAGCATGAGTAACAGCTTGTAGTCAAGGCCAGAGTTTATTCCCAATATGGTAGTATGTTCTATTTATTTTTTCTCTATTTATCATTAAACCCAGAATAACAAAAATATTTCTTTTGCAAGAGATGGCCATGTCAGAAAAGATATTGTGCAACTGTTTCAATAAGCAACCAGACAATATGAAAATTGCCTACAGAATAAGAAAAAATATATAGTTATAGTTAAAAAGTTAATTTGTGGTGTGGATCTATGGTATCACATTAGAGACTTTTGGTGGATTTTTAACTCAGGAAAATGTATACAGCTGTGTAAAAACATTCTCTATTTATGATTGTGGGGGTTTAAAAGGCCTTAGACATATGGTTTATGAATGCTAAGTAGCTATTTTTTAATTGAAAAAAGAAAAAAGGCAAAAGCTAAAGATATTCAATAGAGGTTTGCTTCAGAAATTTATTTAAGAAAAAATATTCATGAAAAAAAGTGTAGGGAGAGATAGGCTTTGAGCTTTGTATTCATTTATTAAAATGTTGTCAAATTATTCTTTATATTACAGGAAATGTATAGATCATAATAAGTAATACACACACACACACACACACACACAGACACACACAAATACATACAAGAGACCTAACTTGTATCCTGTGAGTCCAAAACTTCCTTAACACTGTATACGTCCCTTTTTGAAACACACATCACATGTAGAGCTATTTAGCCTCTTGGTTCAGTAAAGCCAGGAACCACATGAATATTTATTACTATGAAATCTTCAGGACTTGACACAGTGCAAGCCATAACATAGATGCTCAAAAATTTTTTTAATATATTAGAGAGGTACAAATACATATATAAAATAAAATTACAATTTTATGTGATACATGTTATGACAGAGAGATATAGGACTCAATTTAAGTGTCCAACAACAAATAAATAGATAAGAAAACTAGTATTCCATTGTATGTATACAAAAGAGAATATTATTCAGCCATAAAGGAGAAGGCAATCCTGTCATTTGCAAAGGCGTGGATTAACCTGTAGAACATATGTTATGTGAAATCAGCCAGATACAGAAAGACAAATACCACATGATTTTACTCATATATGGAATCCAAAAAGGTTTATCTCAGAGCAGTAGAGGTAGAATATTGGTTACTAGAATCTGGGAATGTTAAGGAAGGGAGAAAAAGTTGAAGAAGTTGATCAACCCACATGTACAAAGTTATGGTTAGCTAGGAGGAATAAGTTCTGGTGTTCTACTGCACAGTAAGGTCACTATAGTTAACGATAATACATTATCTTTTAGACTTCCAAGTAGCCTAAAAGAGAAGGTTTTAAATGTTCTCACTACAGAAAAATGATAAATATTTGAGATAATGGATTTGCTAATTACTGCAATTTGATCATTAAATGGTGTTCACACGTATGGAAACATCACCTTTACCCCCACAAATATGTACAATTATTATGTGTCAATTAAAAATAAAACTAAAAAATTACAAAATGTCTTACTCTTTATGTAAAGTTTAGTAATAAAGAAAGTTGAATTATTCACAATTTGAACATTATTAAATCTATTAATTCATTAATTCAATCACTTATTTTATTTTAAAAACAATTATTGCTTGATGCACAGTGCTAGGGTATTTGGAAATTTATAGAAAAATACAACACGGGTATAAACAAATAAAATTTTGTCTATTTTACGTGTTTTCAACCACTGAAGAAACTTGTTTTCACTGAGTTAGAGAATGCATGCTAGCTGGAAATCTATATTTATTTATTGTTACTGAAACGTTTCTACAAATGTGTATTAAAGTACATTTGTTTTAGTGATTGCTTCTAAATGCAAATACATGCAATGGGAAATATAAACAGTATCCTTTAAACAACCTATACTCCACTTAAAGTCAACTTACACATCACAGTTTATCCATTTTTTATTTTCATTTTTGACACGGTGTTGCCTGCAAATTTGGGGGAGCACTCTCCTTCCCTCATTTCATTATACTTATAAATTTATGTTGGAAGAGGGGAGCCATCTTTGATTTAAATGTGCTTATGTCCCCAGCAGAATACAAGGCATTAAGGAAAGAAAAAGAAAAATCCTATATTAGTGCCTCTGAATAAAATTTTCAGGATAATTTATATTCTAAACTTGAAAGAAAATTTTCTAGTTGTTTATTTCCCCTTATCTGCCATTTTCTTTAAACTCAACCTATTTGATCACTTTAACTAACTCACCTTACTACCCAATTCATCAAATTACCTGGACCAGGTGAATTTTCTATGCTTATTAATTCTTATTAATTAAAAATAGCACACATTCTTTTAAAAGCTTTTTTAATAAAACATACAAGTGTAATGACATACACCTCAGAAATAGTCACCACAATGCTGGCTTATTGTTTCAGAATACTTCATTTTCTCCATTTTTATTTTCTCAACTAAAACTAGGTATCTTTGTTTTGTTCTGGCTCTCATCGAAATTTTCTGTCAACTTCTGATGATTTTTACAGACAAAATGTGCTTTCTCTCACATCCCCTCCATCCCCCTGTATCACCATCAGAGTTTTACCTTCTATATACAAAGATCGTAGTACCAAATAAACATTCAAGAAAACAAATATTTTCTTCTTTTATATAAGCCCACTTTTACCCCTTAAAGGCTGACACAAAACTATATTAAAATGATGATACTGTAGGCAAATCTTTTGAATTTCAGTAGTCTCATGGCTGGCATATATAGCTTAGATTAATCATTTTCAAGTTTACTTGATTGAAATATTTGTCTGGAGAATACTAAAAAAAAAATTCTTTAGCCTCATCGAATAATTATTGAACATGAAATTTCTGGCTTTGAGTCTGAAGCAACAGCTTGTTTCAACAAATCTCTGTACAATCTTGTCTAGGAAACACTTCATAACATATTCAACAAGTGCCTTTCTGGTATTTAAGATATACTGATAGAAAATTGTGGAGCCTTTATTTGGGTTAGCTCCATAGAATTCACTTTTGAGTTGGAAAGGATCTTAGAGGTAGGTAATCTAAGTTTCTTATTTAATCCTCTTAAATAGGTTTGCTGAAGTTAGCTGACCCTTTTTCATTTCCTCTTGAAAATATTCACAACAGGGTAGTTGTGATGCAAATATAACAAAAACAAACAAACAAACAAAAAAAACACTTAAAATTTTTTAAGACTCCGATGAGTTTGGGACTTCAGGAAAAATCAAGGCGGCACCAGTTCCTACCAACCACCATTCCATTTCTTCACTTGAACAGCATTAGTTACAGTCCAGATGGGGGAATTCTTATCTTGGAAGAAGTTCCTAATTGTCATTTGTCTTAGACCAGTGTAAACAAACCAGCCAGTCACAACCTTGCTAAACCTATTAGCTTTTAGAATCCAATATTCTGGCAAGAATATGCCTTGATAGTACCTCTCAGCCCATAAGACAGAGAGAGAGAGAGACAGAGAGAGAGAGAGAGAGAGAGAGAGAGAGAGAGAGTGTGTGTGTGTGTGTGTGTGTTTATATATGGCGGGGAAAAAAAAAACAACAACCTTACATTCCAAAGTTTCATACTGGTTACTGGGTTCATTGCCACTACTTCATGGATATTTAGTTTACAACTATTTTGTCCGCTCTCTCTGGAAGCCATAGGCAAAGCTTAGTTTATAATTATTGGGGAATAACTGCTGAATTTTTAGCTGTTTTGAGTTGATTGACACCACTGTACAACAACTCATTATGAAAAAACTATTTAACTAATTTACTATCTTGTGAAAAGTATACATTGAAAATTCTGTTCATACTGCATTTATTGAGTACAATCAAAAGCAATAGATAGTCTTTAATTATGTTAAATTATGACTGCTGTTATTAATTGTCAAAATATCGAGTATATGTTACTTTCATAGTGATATATGCCTTTTGCAATTTCATTTGGTTATTTTATTACAAATGTGTAAGATTTATTAATTTAAGAGATTGTATGTAATATTTCATTATTTCCGTGTTTACATAAATTTTGAAAGATTGCATGATTTCTTTGCAGTAATCTATCATGAGGCTGTGGAAGTAGTTTGAAGAACATATTATGAGTTTTCTTAGAATGTAGAATGGTTGTAGCCCATCCAACTTAAAAAAATGATTACATACTTTGCAATCAGAAGTAAACATGGCATGTTTTTCTAATTCCAACTTTAAAAACTAAAGAAAAAACCCTCTTATTCACTTAGTAACAGTTCAAGCCTGTATCTAGCTTAAATACCGGGGTTAGTGGAATTTGTTCTATTTATAAACAGAATAATTAGACACAAATCTAAAATAATTTTTTGACTGACATTTAACTTTAATTATACTGATTTTTTCCTTTTGATCAAAATGACTTTTGATCCTTAATCTTCACATTTGTCATTAGATTCTTTGTAGTATATTCAGATTTTTTCTGTACAATTATTGTTCATATATTAAATGACAATTTCTCACAATTCCATAATCAATCAAATTTCTTCTATATTAGAACTCATTTCCTCCAAATTCAATAATCACTTGCTTAGGAAATAGTCATTTGACCTTATCAAAATACACGGTGCACATAGGTAATGTATATTTCTCCTAGTACTGAACATCGGCTAAAGTTACCAAAACAGTTTACAAAAATTAATTTATGAAAACCAATCCTACACACAATGGATGTTTACAAATTCTAGTTTCAGTGAAACATATTTAAATTAGTTATCTTACTACACATTTCAATAGAAAATAATGGAAAAGTTATGTATATGGTTATACCAGTCCCTTGAGGCACTCACATTAGCTTCGCAACACATCTCCTGGGTGAATGCTAATTTTTTATCAAACCATATCAACATTTCTCACACTATGTAACTATTATCTTAAAGTAAAAGTGCTCCTTCAATAATAGAGGATTACATACTTGGGTGTTTCTGAAAATAAGTCTACTGTGAAGCAATCAGCTGTTAGTAAGAAAGTCACAATACTGTGTCCTGATTTTGTTTTGAATGAAAAGACTTTATGGAATATAATGACAAAAACTGAAGTAGAAGTATCTCTATACTCAGTGGGGCAAAGGCAATGGTGGCCATATTCCAAGAGGATATTTTCAGAGCAAACTCTCAGTTTTATCTGAAGAAAAGCCCTAGAGTACTGAGTCAGCCTCAAGGTTCGTAAGGTTATGGAAAAATACGAATACTGAAGTTCTCAGACTCAAAATTTGCACAAAAATTTTTAAAAGAAGTATTTGCATTGTGTATTTCAGTGGAGTGAATAAGATAGATGCCATATTAACACAACCAAACAGTACTGTCATTTGATATTAATGGCTGGATGATGAACTCCTTGCAAAACTGTAAATAGCGCCTAATGGAGATCTTACACTGACCCAGGTGTTATGATGTAAAATAATGGCTTGTCACAGATTTTGTTGTCTTCTAGATATTCAGAAAGATTAGAAAAGAAGCACAGCAAAATGAAAATAGTGGACACTCTGGAGTCATTAAAATTTGGGTTTATATTCTGAGTCACAGTAAGATGTTACTTGCCTCCCAGAAATTAATTTCCTTTTGTTGGCTCAATTTTGTAAGATGTTATATTGACAAGAATGAGACCACATTTTATGACTATTTTGAAGGTTAAGTGAGATAATATATTTAAATCACCTAACATAGTGTCTAGCTCATGACCGCCCATTCATTCGATCCTTGTATATAATAGGCAATTTGCCAGGCACATCTCTAGGCATAGGTAGGACATTGATTATCAAAGCTAACTTGCTGGCTCCATGGAGTGTTTATACTGGAGGCAAAGATAGACAGCAGAAAAATACATAGTGAAATATATGAGTGATGGACACTTGAAATAAAAGCAAAAGAAATAAAGAGAAAGCACTAAAAGGTAGTGAGGAGATGAGCATTATACATGTTTAGGCAAAAAAGCCTCCAGGAAGAGTCTATGGAAAGAGACTGTGCTGGACAGGTTTGAGGGCCAACAAACCCGGAAAAGACTGGGCAAGGGGAAGACCATATAGAACCACTGCACCTAAAAATTTTAGATTTTTTTAAAATAGGTTGTCTAGAAGGGAGTTAAGTATTGAAATCAGATAATTTGATTCATATATTGAACTAATATTATAATTACTGTGTGGAAATAGACTTTAGAGCTAAGAGCAGCAGCAGGAAGAGTAATTAGCTGTCCAATTAGTAGTAGTCAAGGTGAGAGAGAAACATAAATTAGATAGAGTGTTAGCAATGGGTGTGATGAGATGGATTCAATGATGTGATATATTTTGAAACTGTAGTTGATAAATGTGCTAATGGAATCATGATGGGGTGTGAACGAATTAAAAGGATTAAAGATGACTTTAAAGTTTGCAGCAGCTATCATGTTTGAGTATTTACTGTATGCTAGAATATAAACTCTAAGAGGTAGTTGTAATTATTTTTCTCATCCTCATTACAGAGGTAAGTCTCTAGAGCCAGTGCACTTAAACTCTGTAATACAGTGCCTCAGCAGAACTAACATTACTGGCCAGTAAGTTGATCTTCTAAATATATGACAAAAATAGTGACAACACATTTTGATTTCATGTGATACTTACATGTGGCAACTTTATAAAACTTAAGGTTTAGAGAAAGGACTGTGAATATTCTTAACCATTTAATCTGCTCTCTCCTAAAGGATAATCAGAATGTTTACCTGGGTTAAAAAAATTAAGTAATATTATAATTATGTATATTTCTTCTAATTGAAAATTTGAGCCAAGATGAAATTGAAGGCTTTCTATTGACTATGTCTAATAATTTTAAAATGCAGATGTGATTGTGACTTACTAATTTTGTTTCAAATGACTGATAAGTTATTCTTACTATTAATTAGCCTATGACCTCAGAATTGGTGTTAGACACATCACATACATTAGATTAAAAACATCAGATCATAAGTGCAATTACAAAAAGTACCCATTATCCAACAATGTGTTACTATTTCTTTTATTAATTCTTATTAATTCAAAATAATGTAATTCTATTATTTTTACTTTTAAAATAATTGATATTCCTAAATAAAAAACTTCTAATAATAAAATATACTATTTATTGTGCACTCACCAAAATCAAGTACAAAATTAAATAACTGGCATATGTTACTCACATATGTCAATTTTTATATCACAACTTCTTCTCCAACAACTCTACAAAATAGACATTGCTTACATCAATTTGCTACAGGAACTATAAAGATTAGAAGGTTAAGTAATTGGTAAATGCCCAAGCTGAGAATCATTTCTCCACTTTCTGGAATTCCAAGGCCCATGCTGTTAACCCATAAGCTCTGACAATTCCCATATCATCCCCTTGGAGGCTGTAAGAAGTTCATGAGTAAGTACAGAACCTGATGGATGTTTCTAATACTTTCATATTACTTGAAATCTAATAGTCTTGTTTCTATACGTATATCTTTTAATATATATGCATAGTATATGCATATAAATGTATACATACACATATATTATTATATTTTAATATACCCAAAGTTGATTATCTTGTGAAACTCAGGCTGTTGATGCCTTAGTCAGGATGTTCTAACAATGTGTTAGTATTCTGTGTTACTTTGAGCAAGTACTACGAATTACCTGGAGCCTAGTTGCTCTCATGCACAATATTTCTTTGACTAAAGTGCAGCTCTCTAAATACAGACATAACTTGAAATAGAGAAGAATGTGCTTTTTCAGTTGGTTAATTTCTCAACAGTTTGGCTAGTCCTCAACTTGATTTCCAGTAAATCCAGAGAAAGGCCAGGGAGGTCCTGCAACAATGTCTTGTAAAAAGTAGCCCTGCCATCCCAGGGCCTTTCTCTACACTCTTGGATAATGAGCACTTCATTTCTGTTTCCAATTCAAGGAATAAGCAATTATGCAGAACTGGCGGCAGGCAAGAATATAGGTTCCTTTGCAGAGCTTTTAACTTGCAAGATCTCTCATGCCACATTATGTATTTAGAATGCAGTATCTTAAGTCTATCGATTGATCTTCATAATAATCATAAATTTGGAGACTCTGATCCTCATTTAACATATGAGAGAAATGAGTCTCTGAGCAAGGTCTAAATCTTGCCCCCGCCACTCCCTAGGGTGACCTTGAAAGTTCTTTTTTTCTCTAACTCTCAGTTTTCCCATGGATAAAAAGAAAATAACAATATTATCAACCTCAGATTTTTTTTTAATGAGGATTACATAATATGACAGATACAAATCTTAAACTGGAATTTCACAAGTGGCAAACTCTCACAAAATGCTAGGTTTTGTTCTTCAGTAAATCACACTGATGCCACAATGTTAATAAGTTGTAAAATTAGATTTTAAATAAAGATCGTCTTATTCTATATCAAAAGCTTATATTCCCTCTATACTAGAGCTGCTTCGCAAATAACATGCTTTGTTTACTTTTAGTCTTACAATCATTATTTTATATAGGAGCAATATTTTATTGTTATAGGGATTAAGAGACATTTTACTATGCCTCGACATTGTAAATTGTACCATATTAGGTACTTGCTAGGTCACTGGATGGAGTCAAGCTGCCAAAGTTATATCCTGCTTCTATTCTGGGCAGGTAATGCCACAGTTTAACCTATGTTTAGACTTTCTAATTTACAGAATGGGAACAACGATCTCAAAGCCTTCTCTTCAGAATTAAATGAATTTGTTTGTGTATATGAATCCTTATATGTATATATAATGGATGTATATATATGCATGTATATGTGTTTGTTAAAATATAAAATCCATGCCATGTTTCACATTTGGAATCTAACCTCACTTCCATGGAAATATAATCTAGGAAAAAGATCAAGTTTTTAATATACATTGTACACTTCCTTTCAGTAATGTGTTTATCCTGTTCTTTTCTTGCTTTGTTTTTGAATATGTTTGGGTAGTGTATGATTGTTGATTTCTTTCAAGATCTTATTTACTAAGAGCTAGGCTTTTTGTTGAACATTAATGAGCTATATAAATAAACATTCCTATGATTGATGAATTATACAAATTCAAAGAATGATGTTAAAATTCAAGAGCACATATCTTTAGTATTTTTTAATAAAACTTTTGACAGTGGTGTTAACTATTTAAACATGGCTGGAATTTCATATTCTAAATAAAATATTCCTTTTGGTGACTTATAAATTTTAGACTAACAGTTTACTGCTTGCTTTCCCATGAATTTTTCTGTGTAATATTATTATTGACATATTGCAGACATATCTATACTAAGGTGTGTAACAAATAACATAAGATAAATTGCTCTTAAATGATTGCTTAGAAACTAAATCTTACACATCGCTAAGTTGATCTAGCACTGTTTAACTATGTCAGAGTTGGTTACATATTTATATTACTGTTATTTGTGAATGCTTTTAATTGCTTTCATCTCTGCAAATCTACAATAAAGCCCTAAACAATGATTTCAGCTTAAATTGATTAAATCTTCTAATCATGTAGAACTAGATTGAGTTTGTATCGCATGATTTTTAGTTACAACTATGGACAGTGTTTCCTGGTTAGATTATAAAGCCTTTGGGAGAAGGTGTCAACTCTTGACCTCAAGTGATCCGCTCCTCTTGGCTTCCCAAAGTGTTGGGTTTACAGATGTGAGCCACCGCACCCAGCCTATACCATATCATTCTGTGTGTGTTTTGCTGTTTGTAAAATCAGGATGGCATTAGTTTCTCAAGTAACCAATATCAAGTTCAAAACAAAACAAGAAGAACAACAATAAAAAACAGATTTCATTCCTGTGTTTTATTTAGAATATAACATTTGCAATGAATCCAATCATTTCATCCTGCTTTGGGCTCTCATTTGTGGATGTTCTGCCTTGCATGTGTCTGCTAAATTTTCAGGAAGTTTCTGAGAAATTCCTCCAATCTTTACTGCGTACACTTCATTGGCAAGAACTTGATACTTGACCAAACCTATCAGCAAGGGGTGTTGGGAAATGTAGTCTTTATTCTGCTATGCTGTGTTCCCATGCATTAATTTCAGCTTTTATTATTCTTAGAGAAAATACTGAATATTTATCTACATCTAGTGGTTTTCTCCACAGTAGCATCAATAATAATATTCATAGTAATTGAATAGAATCAGTAATTATAAACACAATTAACTTATACTTGTCATAAATTCATTTTTGTGAAGTCAGAAGCAATTTCTCTTTACTGACTCATTAAGACCTTCTCTTCCCTTTCTCACCCTACACTTAAATATTATTTTTATGCAGCAATAGTCCCAAGAGGAGCAGTGAAGCTAGTGTAGGTTTAGGTTTTTGTATAATTTGACATTGAAGAAAGCTATTTTACTATTTTGAGTTCATTTGCTTAATAAATATGATGACATGTAATATTGTTCAACAAATATTCACTTATTTGCCCTTCCTTTATGAGAAGAGTTTTACTTCCCCAATTCATTTATGTTGGCTTTGGTCATGTAACATGCTATGGCCAAGAGAATGTTAGAGGAACTGACAGTAACAGGGGCCGGAAATGTGATTAGCTTTGGTGTCCCAATCTGCCATGAGAAGAATTTGGCTTAGCTGCTTTTGGCCTGGTCAAGAGCATAAGATATATTGAGAAAATCTGAATTCAACCCACAGCCTGAAAGAGAACCATAGTCTGTCTCAATCACACCTCAACTAATCCAAAGATCCACGAGGTAAAAGTAAATGTGTATTGTAAGCCCCTGAGAATTTTATGTTCACTTGTTGTATAGCAAAATATGATGGACACCACTATTAATTTATCTCATCCAATTTAATAAATTTCTTTTTTTCTATTAATACTGTCATTTAACAGACACCAAGCAATTCTATCCTTGGGACACATTTCATCAAAGTCCTCCTATCTGGATGAGATGTTTCTGCTTGGGCTTTTTCTTCTAGATTAATCCATATCAAATTAGGTTTTAACTGGCAAGGCTGTAACACACATTGAAATGCTGAAGAACTTTCAATCAAAACGATACCACAAGGCAATTTCAGTAAGATTACTTTTGTCATTTAATGTGCTGAAGATCCAAGAAGGAATATAGCCATATAAATCTTCAAGGAAACTTTACATTTCCTTGATTTAATTGAGGTTAAGACCTAGATTTCTGGTCAGCTGCAAATCTGCAGGGCAGCTTTGCTGTTGGTGAGATGGTTTTGGTCTATCCAAAAGTACTTCAACCACTACTTCCATACAAACATATGTGCATATGCCAAATAAAATTTCTGTTACCCTGCTTTGTTTGAAACTAACTGATTTCTTTTCTTCAATCTTTATATAGTTGATATATGAGCGTAGGTTAGTTAATTCTGAAGAGCTATGAACACAAAATAACTAATAGTACCTCCTTTTACTTTTCCTGTGTTGATATCAATCTTCTTCATGGAATTAAATTACTATAGCATTATTAATAATTGCTTTTTTCTGAAGTTTCTTCCAATGCCAACCCAAAATAATCCTAGAAACATGGTTGCTTGCAAATTGTGAGGATTGATTTCTAAGTATAAATTAAGCATATATTGATTGCCTATCAATGCATTGGGTTTACCTGTAATTTAATGAAACTGAAAGATTTTAAGCTTTATAAAACTGAAAACAACAAACAAAATTGCATCATTTAATCAAGGGTTTGAAAAATACTTCAGAACTATAAACTGCCAATTTTTTTCAGAAATATATAATTCACTGATTATTTCTTCTTCCTGCAAGGACAGGTATTTGTTTCAAAACTTGTTTATGTACTTAAAAAATTGCTAAAATCTCATTTTGTCTAATATAATATTTTTCTAATGTGAAAACTTAAATCTTACCTCTGGAACAAATGTTTTACTTCAGGAAGGCAAGTTTTTTTAGTTTCAGGAAAGCAACTAAATTTGTTAAACATCAGAGGAAAACTAAGAACATTTTTTTCACCTTTTAAATTCCCACTGCATACTATTTTATCTAAAAATATTTCATAAAATATAAGTTAATAAATACCAATTTGGAAACTCTTGATAATTTCATTCCTTATACTTCATAACTCATTACATCATTTTGTCTACTTTGGTACAATTAAAAGTATGAAGATCTAGCTAAGGCCCAGTGCCTTGCTGGTTTGAAAGCTACAAACGAGAACAAGAAAACGTCTCTACTCTCCACTTCTTCACAATGCAAAAAGCTCCTTTTAAGTGATGCAAGTTGATTAGTACTTTATTCTACCTAAAGGGTTTGGATTTGCCTCTGACAAGTACTGAATAAAGAAACAATATTGAGCCAGTAATAGTCAAAAGATATATTTAGCTTTGTTTGTAATAAGCCATTATTTTTAAAGAAAGCTATTATATTCACATATTTTTATTGTATTTTTTCAAAGGATGATTCAAATAAAGTTGGGAGCAAGAAAATTAAAGTGTTTAAGACAGTTAATTCTGAGATTAGGAACATGGGAAATTTTCATTTCTTCTTTGAACTAGTTTTTGGTTCCTCAATCTTAAAAATTTCAATGGAAAACATATTATTAAATTGGACATTCAGATAATGGATTATTAACATAGAAACATAAATATAAAAATACCAATCTGAGTAGAAATGATGAGATTTTAAATGAAGGAGGTGCACTTTCATGTAAAGTGTACTTTAAACGTAGGCTGGAGGAGACCTAGCTTACCAGCCCACTTCTGTATTACACAAAAGGGAGGATAAGGAGGAGAGGAAGGAGGAGAAAGAGGCCACAGGCACCTTTTATAAATGAATCTTCTTTCTCACAGTGAATTGCAGATTATTCTTCATGAATGTAGAGATAGTTTTCACTTGAAATTTGTGGGGTTTTTTTGTTATTGTCAGAAAAAGTACATTATTACAAAGTCTGAATGACACAAGTGTGGTAACTACAAATTATTTTCTAGATTTTTGAAAGATAATTATAAACTGGTAAACTACCATTCAACCCAGCAATCCTACTACTGGGTGTATACACAAAGGAAAATAAATTGTTCTACCAAAAACACACATGCACTCATAGGTTCATTGCTGCACTATCTACAAAAGCAAAGACATGGAATCAACCTGGATGTCCATCAACACTGGACTGGATAAAGAAAATGTGGTATATATACACCACGGAATACAATGTAACCATAAAAAAAATCATATCCTTTGCAGCAACATGGATGCAGCTGGAGGTCATTGTCCTAAGCAAATTAATGCAGGAACGGAAAAACAAATACTGCATGCTCTCACTTGTAAGTGGGAGCCACACATTGAGTATACATGGACATAAAGATGAGAACAATAGAGATCAGGGACTACTAGAGGTGAAGAAGGTAAAGAGGAGGTAAGAGTTGAAAAACTACCTATGGGGTACTGTGCTCACTACATGGGTTAACAGGATCATTTGTACACCAAACCTCAGTGACACACAATTTACCCATGTAAAAAACTGCACACATACCCCCCTCAAAACTAAAACAGAGTTGAAAAAACAAGAAAAGTTGATATTTAGAAAGTTTAAAGCTCAGTGTTGAGAGGAAGCAATCTATTCTTTTAATCCATGTAAGTACCTATGGCCGGCAGTGGAGAGAGGAGGGTACTTATCAGGAAGCTGAATGCTTGCAGAAATCCTTAGATCTGAGATTCTCTCACACTCTCCAAACTGACAAATCCCAAGACCAGTAAATGGCTTACTGCTCATCCTGAAAATGAATTTTCTTCAAAATCCTAAGTTACTGTGGTCTTAGAATAAAACTATGGCACCTCAAACATAAAGAGATCTTTCTGAGTGTGTATGGGTGGGGGAACACAATTACACAAGAAATATTTATATGAATTTCTCTAAGTATTACAAGTTAAGAAAGTGCATGGTTTGATACTAGCATTATTTATTTTGACAACATGACTTATTTTTAGTACTGTATTTTACTTATATAATATGCTCATGGGGAACACAGTACATTTTATAAACAGATTTTCCTACTCTTTTGAGCCTCGTAATACCATAAATATTCCCATTTTTAAATAATTACTTGACTTATTCCAGTGAAAGTAAACATACTGACTATTACTCACTGGCATTACAGAACCATAGGAAGGGTATTGAGTCACAGCATTTATAGTTGCTGGAAAAAGAAAGTAATCTCAGAAAGAAAAAGAGCTAGAGAGGTTGTCCCAAAATTCTATTTGCCCATATTTCTGGCTTATTCCAGATAAATGCCTCCATAAAAGTGACATTTGAAGAGATACACATAAAATTGCAAATAACCCATGTGACTATTCAAGGAAACAATATTCCAGTCATATAAATTGCTCAGAAAGAAGAATGGACTCTGCCTAATTTGAATTTCAGAAAGGTTTGTGTGACTATTCAGAAAAGGAGTGGTACAGAGTGAAATCAAGGGACAGATGTGAAATCATTCATTGTGAAGTGGAGTCTTTGGATGATTTTGAACATAATTTCATTTAAATTGTATGCATCTGGGTGAAGTTTAAAATATTTACTAAAGAAGATCAAATGGTGAAGCAGGAAGATTTTTAGGAATCTATTTCAGTATTCCAGGCTATAAATGAAGGTTTAGTCTGAGGAGGCAATATTGAAAGCAATGATAATTGGTTGTATTCATAAGTTTTGAACTTCTAGTATATGAATACAGTTTGAGAATACGATATAACAGACTAAAGTGCCTTCAAATCCCAAATCTCCTTTCTCTTTAACACTGATTAATTCTAAAGTTCCATACTGGGAGGTGTTCAACAAAAGTTAATTTTTAAATGGTGTTTCTGTTGTACAAGTAAGTATCCAGAAATCTAAATCCTTGCTTATGTTACTAGTTCTATAACCATCTCCTATGTGGATTGTTTTCTTGATAATCCTAAATTTGAAAAAGAAACAAGTCACAAATGAATCCATTATCGCCAATCTTTTTTTAAATATTATAATTTAATGTACCTTGCATGACTCAGTCTCTTTCAGGAGTATACGTGAAAGTTAAAATACCTAAGTATCAATGTGACACAATCATAAGGATTAAAAAAGCCCACATATTGCTTATTTTAAAATCTATAAAGATACTGCTAGCAAAGTAGTAATTTCTTTATTAAAAACTAAAAATGCCTTTGTATTTACACATTTTATAATTTAATGTAGTACATAGACAAATCCTATAATTCCTTAAGGTAATTAAAATAATTTTAACACTGTACATTTCTATGATTTATAATGTATAATTATCTTAAAGATGTAAAGGAATTTAAATAACCTTATTTCCTTATTCCTTATTATTTTGGATAAATCATTTAGAATACATGTAATCATTCCAAAGTGCTTTAACTATTGAAATATTTCCAAATCAGTGAATAAATGTAGTGATAAGATCAACTTTATACAGTTGTTATAAGTATTAGATATGATAATAAATATAAAGCTTTTAAAACAGTGTGTGGTACAAAATAAGGATTTAATAGATATATTTTAATTATATTAGGTATTTTGCATTTATATAAAATGTCTTTTGTCATTGTGTCAGAATGACCTCACCAACTTTTAAAATTCTTTCCACAGAAGATAGTATAATTTAATGGGAATAATACGAATACAATGTAAAAATCAAAATAATAATAAGTCTTAGGAGTAGGATTTCCTTTAGCCTGCTCTATGACCAGCTTTTCCATATCAGAAAAAGGAGGATAATCAACCTGAATTACTTCCCTACCTCCTTAAATTGCTTTAAGGCTTATATGAGTGATCACATAGTAAAGTACGTATGCAAGCTGTTGATTCTGCTTTCATATGTTTCCACTTAAGTTATATACTTTGTTGTGGGAAGTCAGGGACCCTGAACAGAGGGACCGGCTGAAGCCATGGCAGAAGAACATAAATTGTGAAGATTTCATGGATATTTATTTGTTCCCCAAATTAATACTTTTATAATTTCTTACGCCTGTCTTTACTGCAATCTCTGAACATAAATTGTGAAGATTTCATGGACACTTACCACTTCCCCAATCAATAATCTTGTGATTTCCTATGCCTGTCTTTAATCTCTTAATCCCATCATCTTAGTAAGCTGAGGATGAATGTCACCTTAGGAACCTGTGATGATTGTGTTAACTGCACAAATTGTTTAACCAATATGAAATCTGGGCACCTTGAAAAAAGAACAGGATAACAGCGATGTTCAGGGAACAAGGGAGATAACCTTAAAGTCTGGCTGCCCATGAGCTGGGCGGAACAGAGCCATATTTCTCTTCTTTCAAAAGCAAATAGGAGAAATATCGCTGTATTCTTTTTCTCAGCATGGAACATCCCTGAGAAAGAGAATGCTTTCCCAGGGGGAGGCCTCTGAAATGGCCACTTTGGGAACGTCTGTCTTTTATGGTTGTAGATAAGGGATGAAATAAGCCCCGGTCTCCCGTAGCGCTCCCAGGCTTATTAGGACAAGGAAATTCCTGCCTAATAAATTTGGTCAGACCAGTTGTCTGCTCTCAAACCGTGTCTCCTGATAAAATGTTATCAATGACAATGCATGCCCCAAACTTCATTAGCAATTTTAATTTCACCCCAGTCCTGTGATCTCGCTCTGCCTCCATTTGCCTTGTGATATTTTATTACCTTGTGAAGCATGTGATCTCTGTGACCCACACCCTATTTGTACACTCCCTCCCTTTTTGAAAATCACTAATAAAAACTTGCTGGTTTTGCAGCTTGAGGGGCATCATGGAACCTACCGACATGTGATGTCACCCCCGGATGCCCAACTTTAAAATTTCTCTCTTTTTTACTCTTTCTGTTTATTTATCAGACCAGCCGACACTTAGGGAAAATAGAAAAGGACGCTTGTGACATATCGGGGGTGGTTTCCCCTGATATCACTTGCTAATTGGAGTAAACATCCATGGATACTGGAAATTTACTAATTAATAAAAATTAAAGTGCAACGGTAGTAGTTGTTGTTTCTTCTTAGTTCTGGAATTATAAGGTTTATTACTGAGTTTGTCTATGATAAAAAATCTAGTAATTCAAAACTTCTTATACATATCATATTACTTGAGAACAAGAAAACTTTGGGAATTTAGTGATTCTATGATAACTCTAAGCAATTTAGCCTTTTTACATCTAGAAACCTGAGCTTCTCTCTCCTAAATTTTCTCTACGGCATGGCCTCTGGTTCAATACCTGTATACTTAAAAACTTAAAAACAGCCGATTTAAATATTAAAAATAAATATATTATTTGAATATATTTTGTTTATTATTATTATTAATGATTATTATTTTAGCAACAATACAAAGAAAAATTAGTTCTTCAAAAATTGCTTACACTATGGGTCCCATATATTTCCTTGTTTGTAGCTTTTGTTCAAATCAACTTTAGTACATAACCCAGAATAATTCATGACAATTATCATAACACAGATTCAAGAAAATGACCAAATTATTTTCTTGGGTGAATTCTTTCTATCAAAACTCATGTTCACAAAAGAGGTTTCTAATATTTGTGCCCATGGTCATCTTGTGAAATTGCATTTTCATAGCAAAGGCTTTCTAGGTCATATAACTTCTGACAAATGATTGCTTTGCTTTCTCCTATCATAAGCCACTGAGGTACTTATGGCACTAAGTAACTGATAACATTTGAACACAAGTTTTTGATACTGCTCTGTCTATAGCATACAAAATATAATATTCATGATTTAGATGAGATTATGACTAAAGAAATTTCACAATATTTTCTTGACATTTTATGTTTCATATTCCTGTAAAACTTAGAACTATGCCAGTAATGATTACTGTTTATCTAAGTAGTAGGAAATGATCTGTTAATAGAAAATTTGGTACCTTGCAATTTGAAAGGGGCCTAATAACTGAGTGATAAGAATAGAATGAGTTGATTCCAAAGTTGGGTCCATGAAACCCTGTGAGAGTTTCAATTAGTTTGTTTTGCCTCTGTGATAAATGAATAAACAAACGTACATGTCTTCTGATATTTTTATGGCATATGAAAATATATGTATATACTAACTCTAGTATTTTATGAATTTATTGTTAACATATTTCTAGAAAAAAAGCAGATGATTGGGCAATTTTCAACTTCAATGTATGCAATAAATCCTAAAGGCAGAAGTTGAGCCCTGGACTGGATGTCTTCTACTTATCTTTTCAGATAAAGCTTCTACCGTTTTCTGCTCTGCTTGGTGCCTAGGGTGGATGCTGACTAGGGTGGATGACTAATCACCTGCAGGCTTCTGGTTCTGTTTGCTTTGACCCATGGAGAGAAGTGACAGTAGCTAGAACTAAGTGAAAATAACAAGGCCAGTTTATTTATTCCCATAGCCTCCTCCCCTGTTGGATCTCCTTAGGAAGCTGTACTTCTGTGCTCAAAGACTACCATCCTTCTACTCACAGAACTACATGTCCAGGCAGATAACTGCTTCCTCCTTTCCCCATAGGAGCTGTAATGGTATCTACCTCATGCTGATACTGGCCCTGATGCAGTGAATAGCCCTTGTGGTTTCCCTTTCTCCTTCACACACCTTTGAAAATAGTTTTTTTTTCTTTTTTTTTTTTCTTTTATACCAACTCTCTGTGAATTGCCTAATTGGGGTGTGTAATTTGTTTTCTGCCATGACTGTGATTGATACAACCCATTTCCAGGTTTTGTTATTTCTTTAAACCCAAACAGAATTCACTGGTTTTTCTTTTTTGAGACACTGCTCTATTCCCTATATTATCCTGTATTACTTGATGTATCTCAGTAATAGCTATAGATATCATTCTCAATGATATCTATATATATATATATATATATATATACACACACACACACGAGAGAGAGAAAGAGATGATTGTCTCTCTCTCTCTTCAATTAGCAGAGCAGCTGTTAGTGGATTATATAATGTACATTTGCAAATATGATTCCTTACCCAGAAATGTCCTTTTCCTCTCTGTCTGCCATGAAAACTGCTATTATTCCTCCAAATCTCAGATAATATGAAACCTCTTCCACTATACCTTCCTGAAAGTACTCTTCCATTCCAGGTTCAAATAATTACTCCATCCTTCCTAAGACATATGTTCTTGTTTCTTGTTTTACTTTGATCACTTTGTTATGGTTTATTTACATGTTAATTTATCCAAACTCAGATTGCTCCATGAAAGTAGAAATATGTCTTATTCATTTACCTACTCCAAAAGATTAGTATAGGACTTGATTCAGAGCAAGTGCTCAATAGATGTTTGTTAATCAGATTAGTATAAATGTAATGTCTGATAATTACTTCCATTTCCATCCATGTTGCTGCAAATGACCAAATTTCATTCTTTTTTAGGTTTAATAATATTCCTTTGTGCATATATACCACATTTTCTTTATTCATTCATCTCTTAATGGGCATTTAGTTTTATTCCATATTTTAGGTATTGTGATACAGTGCTGCAATATGCATGTGAGTGCAGATGTCTTTTCCATGTTGGTGTGTTGTTTTCTTGACATATCTGGAGCTGTCAGGGTATAGAGAGCACTTGCTGTGCTGTCCTGTACTGCTTAACCATGGCCGGCAGTGGAGAAAGTAGGGTACTTATCAGGAAGTTGAGTGTGGTCAGAAATACTGGGATCTGAGATTCCCTCACACTCAGTAAACTGAAAACACCCAAGGCCTGTGAATGGCTTACTGACAATTCTGAAAATGTTTCTTCAGCACCCTATGTCACTATGGTCTTAATATAAAACTATGGCATCTCAAACATAAAGGCATCTTTCTGAGTGTATGTGTTGTGGGGGGTGGGGTTTGGGAGCACAATTATGCAAGCAATACTTTGGTGGGGGTTTTATTGTTCTTTGCTTTTTACGTGAATTTCTGTAAATATTACAAGTTAAAAAAGTGCATAGTTTGATACTAGCGTCATTTATTTTAACAAAATAAATTCTTTTTTAGTACCAAATTTTGACAGGCTTTATATATATAATATGCTCATGGAGAACATAGTATGTTATAAAAACAGATTAAACAGATTTTTTTACTCTTTTGAGCCTCATAATACCATAAATATTTCCATTTTTTAAATAATTACTTGACTAGTTCCAGTGAAAATCAGTACACTGATTATAATTCACTGGCATTACAGAGCCATAGACTGGTTACAAATGCCCAGATTACCTCTTACACAATGAGGTGCATCACTCCCCAGTGACCTCTTTTCTCTCAGTTTACACCCAGGACTAGATATTTTAGTACTAGCTTCTAAAACAGTTAATACTTCATTTTTGTATTCAGATAATTTAAACTGAAAATGACAGACAGGCTTTCTACAAAATCCTTACCCTAGGGTCATGACCTAGGCATAAGTAGTGCTTTGAAATAACAAAACAAAACAACAACAAAAAACCACCTTCGACATACAAACACATATTTAGTAAAATACTGTAGTATCTGAAACAGAGACTATTTTCTCAAAGTATATTTCTTATTGTGATATATATGGTTTAAAATATATATTTTTTCTAGCCACAGATAGACAGCAGTAGCAGTTATATTTAAAATGATATTTATTGGCCATGTTTTCATTCTAGAAATACTCAATTATTAGTTCAATCAATTCTGAAGATGCTTATTGAAGATGATTTTAGTAAATAGGATGGGACTTCCAGACTCTGTTTTTTAATACGAAACAACTTTACTTTATAAGTGGAAATACATTTTAATAATTATTTTTTCCTCTATCTCTTACATTTTCTTTTTTGAAAAAGTAGGCAAATTTGCACATAAACCCCTGTTGTTATACTCTTCTCTCCAATGCCATCTCTTACTCATATTTCTTATCACCTTAATTTCCCATGAAGATGCAGTTAGGAGTAAGAAATTCTGGTTAATATTCAGAATTTTTTTCAGTAATAATTCTCAGGCTTCAAAGAACAGCTATCTCTTCTATGCTTCAGAACACAAACAAAAAGTATGTATAAATGATCTCAGATTCATCCTCTGCAATATATATTTAAAATTATAAAGAAAACATGCTTCTCTTTGGTTTAGGAGAAAGGCTACTCATAAAAGACTAAAGCAAAATCCTAGCCTGTGTTTTTCCAGTATTTATTTCTGGCAGTCAAATGATCTTTCTATAGATGATCTCAGACCCATCATAAGCAACATATATTTAAAATTACAAAGAAAGCATGCTTCTCTTGGGTCTATAAAAAAGGTTTCAGATAAACGACTAAAATAGACTCAAAGGATGCATAATTTTCCAGTACAGTATTTATTTCTGACAAATAGAATCGTTATGCAAAATTATGAAAACTATTATTCCAAAAATTTATGTGCCTAATGAATGTCAAAATTGGAGCAATTAGCATATTGATATTTTTTACAAATTCAACAATTATTTGAATTTTGCCATTAAGTTGACCACATTTGCACCCACATTGGAAGAAATGTGAGACTAAACTCATTATTCAATATTACACTATTTGAAATAAAACACCAATTGTAAATTCAATACAATGTTCCTGATGATAATTTAATCACAGAAATTAATAAATCCATCTACGTTTTACCCTTCATCATCAGTGTCCACGTTATACAGAAACTCATTTACATGGTATTTCTTCAGGTTTGAGATTTACACAAGCAGTTGTTTTACAAGGTATTTGATTTTAGTTACAAAAGAAATGCAGATGGTGAAACAGATTGCTGTCATATTCTCCCTTGTTTATTTACACTTTTGCTATTGTAACTTCCATCTGAAACTTTCTACCAAGAACTGAGTAGATAATATGAAAATAGTTTGATCACAATGATGTCTTCATCCTCGTGTTATTCTGCTGTGTAACATTCATCCCCACCTCCATGCTTTTGTCTCTGCTCAATTTCTCCATCTAGAACATCCTTTCCACATCTTTCACCTCTTCAGCACAAGTATAACCATCATTAGGAACTCCATTGGTGGAGACTTATATTAATCACAGGTCAATAAAAGGGTGTATAACTGAATTTAGTATTTGTCTTCTATTGCTCTATCATCTTATCTTTTCAGGAATCAATACTATAACATTCGATTGAATTATCAAAACTACATTTATTGAGCCCAGCTATTGTATCCATTATTTATTTATTTCATGCCCACTGCTCTTAGCCCCACCTAAGCCCATTAAATGCTGTAAACAAAGACGTGAATAGAACAAATCCTACTGTAAATAAAAATAAAATATGTGAAAGGTATCTAGCAGAGTGACTGATATATAGTAGATTTAGTAAATGAAATAGTGCATTTATGATAAATGCTTTGTGATGCTCCAAGTTTAATTACAAGTGTCTAGAACTTTTTATAGAAACATCTTGTATTTTATTTGTTGCAGTAATTCAGAGGTGCAACAAATAAATTCAGAGGTAGCTGTGGAGTGATATTTGTCAGTCAATGATACATTATCATTTGAAAGCATGATTAACAGATGTCACTTAATGCCTCTCCTAATCATAATTTCTTTTTTATTATTATTTTTAATTTTTGTGGGTACATGGAAGGTGCATATATTTATAGAGTACATAATGTGTTTTCACATATCTCCTTCAAGTTACAAACAATCCCATTATACTCTTTAAGTTATTTCAAAATGCACAATCAAGTTATTATTGACTATTGTTACCCTATTGCATCATCAAATAGTAGCTCTTATTCATTTTTTAATATTTTTTGTACCCATTTACCATTCTCACCTCCCCCCAGCCCCCAGATCAAACAATGGACAAAAGATCTGAATAATCATTTCTCAAAAGAAGTCATAATTTCTTTTGAGAACATCAACCCACAGGTCTTGACTCACTTCCCAGCTCATTCATTTAGGTTTGGAAAACTCACCAAATGAGGAGTCAATTGAAACATGGAGCCTGTTGATAAAAAGGAATCTGGATGATGGAGTTGGGTTATTTAGAATAATGAAGCCAAAAATAAAAAGGACAACCTATCTGAGCCATAGACAGTAAAAATATGTAAAAACAAAACCCAAAACACTTAATATGCTGAGAAAGTACTATGAAAAATAATAGCAGTGAGAAGCAGAAAGGAAAGAACTCCCTGTTCATATAAGGTCAAGAAACTAGCTTGAATTCTGATGGCTTTCCAATTGGAAAAAAAAAGTCAAATATATTTTATATTCTGTTCCTTAATTCTTATGATATATAATCATTGTCTATAGTAAATATTCTCTTCTTAATTTATGAAAATTTCAATATTTATTTCCCTTGACACCAAAATTTTGAAAAAGCAACCTGAAAAGATAACCAAAATATTACTTATTTGGACAGATATTAAAGAAGAGATATGCAAAATTAGCATTTCCAGGTAAATTCTTGTTTTTAATCTATTAATTTCAACTAGTTCATAGGTAAAGGTCAGAAAGTAATCACATTATTAAGCATAATGTGCAATTTCAAAAAATATAATGATAATATTTTAAGGTTTACAAGATGGTGACATTGTTCAAAGCAAGTAAAATCAAAATATTTTATGATTGAGCCTTTATTATGTACTAGGCTCTGTGCCTGAGGAAGAAGACAATTGCCTTCCCTTTTATGATCTGGGCAGGTTACTGGGGCAGGCACAGAGATAATTAACTAAGATGATGCTGTGATTGTATTGATAGAGATGTATGCAGAGTATTAGGGGGTAACAAAGCAGATATGACATTCCACACTTTAAAGAAATGAAACTGTTACTTTTCTCCTACAACAATGAGTAAAAGAGGTATTTCAGGAACATCTGTGCTTATAAACTTCAGATAAACGAGAAGCCTGTACTTACTTGTACAGTGTACATCCCTGTTATACACTATCTCTAGCTAAAACCCCCACAAATATTGATTATAATCAGTTTCTTACATTTCATTCTAAATTATTATTTTTTTTCAATCCCCTGGCAAGATGACAATACTCATAAAATCAAATTTTTCTATATTTGGAGATTGCAACACTGCAGCTGAACACGTCTGGAAAACAACACCGATGAGCTGCACTTTAAATCTATGATCACTAACCTCAAATGTGCTTTTATGCTGCCCAGTGACCATGCAGTAAGTGCCATTTCTGCCTTCTCTCCTATTCTCCTAGATGACTATTTCTAATTTCTCCTCTTTTCCGAAACTCCCAGGAACAACCCCCATCCATCATTCTCAGCTGATGACCTTTCTCTCTAACTAGTTGAGAAAATCAAAGCATTTTGAAGATAAACTCTACAAAGTCTAGCCTACTTGCAGTGCACTCTTCCAATTCCAAAATTCCCAATTTCTCTTCCTGATTTGTTTTTAGCCCTGAAACGAGTCACCATCTGACACACTAGTTAGATTAAAAAACAAACAAACAAAAAACAAAACAAAAAAAACCACACAAGGATGATTTTAGTCTTGATCACTTTTCTACCTCCTTTGCCTAAAGCAGTTTCAGACTTATGGTAATTGTACCTAAATATAGAATAGTTGAGGGAGGTGAGTAGTGCTTTACCAAGTGTGGCCTAAGGATCCTTAAGGGCTACGTGAGGGCACCATGAACTGAGGAGGCAGCTGAGCAGATCACACTCTGACTTTCAAACTCGCCTCAATCAGAGCAGATCCACAGCTATTAACTTTCCTCTCAAGGTATCTGACTTGAGTGACTCTCCCAGTATAACTTAACGTGGACAGTGTTTCTCAATTTGGAGGTTACAGAAACTTTCCAGATGATCTCAATAAAATGTGTAGACCTCCTTGACTGCAATTTCCAAGAAAATCTAGTTTAAAAGTGCTCAAGTGGGGCTCATAAAACTACATTCTAGGAAACTGTGTTTCAGATTTTTTTTCCATCTATAGATTTTGAGAAATACTGTCTTCAAATATTTAAGATGTCAATCTGGATATGGTGATGTGCACTTGCAATCCCAGCTATATGGGAGGCTCAGGAAGGTGAATCCCTTGAGCTCAGGAGTTTGAGGTTAGTCTGAGCAACATAGAGAGATCTCATCTCCAAATTTAAACAAAATAATAAGATATTTTCTCTGGTTTCCAACTCCAATATTTCATATATTTATTGAGAGCTACTGTCTTCCCAAGATCAAAAAAGCATGGTCAGGACAATATTATCACCTGTATTGTTTTATTTTCATGTTCTTTTCAAACATTTGCCCCTGTGCTCAGAGTTTAGAATCTTGTCAACATTTGGGGTAAATGCTGAATATTTTAGGTAACTGCAAATGAAAATAAATGATTAATGGTCAAAATGAATGCTTGCAAATAATGAAATTTGCCTCCATCCTTGACTCAGCTTGTCAATATACATTGTTTATGGTTCCAAAACATTTTCCTGGACTTCATTTATCAAAAGCAACGAAAAAAGTGAAGGCTTTGTGGCAGTCTTAATATCCTGATAGAGTAAAAGCATTTATAGCTCCATTTTTATTAGCATTAAGCATATCTCATATCTGCAATATCATATATCACTGGGATATCATCCTTCATAGCTGGACATGCAAACCAGTTTGGGGAACAATAACATGAACAGATTAGAGCATGTGTTGTCTTCAAAAGACTAAAAAAAGGGGCAAAATTATCAATAAGTTAACTTCCCTTTGATGCTGAGGCGTACTGGAAAAATTAACCTCTAAATGTAGTGACCTCAAATTCAAATGGATGGTTTGACAAAGGATTGATTACATCTTATATAGGCAGTAATAAAAATGAAAAGTTTTATAGCTATATCAAATGTAAATCCAATTCATTTGTGCATTCACTGAGTCATCATTACCGAAATAGTAAATATCACAGCAAAGTTGACTAAGCTCCAATGGACATGGAGCTAGAATAAATTAAGTCTTCAGAGAAGTTTCTTAAAGAGAAATCACTGGAGGAGAGTGGTAGAGCTCTCTCTCACTTTAACTGTGAGTATATTATTTGTCTCAAGAAAGTCTCAGAGGATGGCTCCAGACAAGGATACAGATTTTGATTGATAAAAGTGTCCAGCTCTATAATAAAGAATAATTTGTAAAAGTTTCAATATATTTCAAAAGACTATGATAAATTTGCAAACTGTAAAAAAAAAAAAAAGAACAGAAAGTTTCATCAGAAGCAGGGAAGAAGGCTTTTAGATACTTCTACTCATCTCTACATAGCATTCAAAAGCTTCCGGCTAATTCTGTGATATGTCCCAAAATTCAGTGTCCATTTTCATTTATTTTATGCCTGTTTTCACATATCAAATGTTTATTAAACTTTAAATGTATTAGTATGTAAAGCTCACAACAGTAATGTTGGCATCACAGCTTAACAATGTCCTTATGGTAGCTTAGTATCTTTGCTATACATACTGAGCCTATTTTTTTTGTGCATGCCTACTTCTATGTAAGAAAGCCAGTCTTTATTCATGCTACCACAGGCTTCTTATAATCCTTTTCTGGTGATTTACACACCTGCCTTCATTTTCTCTCTGTTCCCCATCATGCCCTTTACATACACGTGCGTGTGTGCGCGTGCACACACACACACACACTTCTAACTTATATATCCCAAGGGACAGTCACTCTAGAGTCCTTGGGATGATGGTCTCTACGGCTGTCTCAGTACTATTCCCTACACCACTCCAAATGAGTTTGGAGATGAATCAGAGAACTCTGTCGACTTTTACCCGGACCTTTCAACTCTTAAAAATTAATAAGGCTAAAAAAAGTAATAAGACTAGGCCAGTGTTCCTTTGTCCGCAGGCAATACCAAAGTCCCTATGTCAAGGTCAGGGTTCAAGGGGGAGATAGGAAAGAATTGCATTTCTTTGGCTTGTTGGATGCCAGTACATGGTTGACTGTGATCCCCCCATACCCTGGCACCAGGAAGAGGTGAAAACAGATACTACTCTCCAGTGTTACATCTGAAGCTACCACAACCTGGACTCTTACTGAGACCAGATATGAATTGATTCAATTGGGCCCCTACAAACCCCCATTGTTATGGCCCCTAATACTGAATAAATGACTGCATTGGATGCCTTGCATATGTGCAGTTCTGCTTGCCTTTGCCCCCATGTCCTGAGGAAATTGCTTTAATTTAGGGTAATTTTGGTAGGGTATGTAGAGTGCCAAGAAGCAATCTGACTAATGGTGTCTAGCGCTACTGTCTACTCAAAGTAATCCAACCTCAGATAGATGCATCGCTTACAGAGCACAGTAAAGACGTTCAACATAATAGGCAGAGCTTCATATGGTATGAATGACTACCCAGGCCATCCAGCAGTGAGCCATATTACATTTTCATTGACTTACGGACTATGGCTAATGGTCTGGTGGTTAGTTCTTCCAATGGCAAGCCTTGGACTGGCTTATAAACCAAGTCCTCCCCGTCCTGATGGAGATGAGGCACTTAGATAAAAAAACGGCTCTGCTTCTGATAAGCTTTTGGTTACGCATGTGAATACTTACCAGAAGGAGAACAAAATTGAAGAACAGAACACTCTTGTCAGCTAAATGTGAAGACTGAATTGTCTTCCATTCCGGATCAAGCATATGTGCAACTAATTAATTCTTAGATTCACAGGATGAATTCTCCTAGAGATTCAGACATCAACTTAGACTGGGCCTACACATGTGGATTGCCATTGCCATTAGAAAACGCTGAAACAGGAAAAAGTGTCTCACCTGCAAGACCCTGACCCATGCTAAATATACTGCCTAGGACCAGATCCTCCCAGGAAAGAGCCCAGGGCATTCTTGACATACAGATTATGTTGGGTCCATCATTTCCTCCATGTGTTCCTCTTTACCTGACCTTGCCAGATGTCATTCCATGAGAAATATGGAAAACTGTAGAGCTGAGGCCTCTTTTTGCATCTTGCTTATACAGTTACGGTAAACTAATAAAGGTTTAATTGCTACATTTGATTTGATTCATTATTCTAATTGACCACTTTGATATCTTGTTGCTCTGCAGTTCCCTGAAAAGATGCTAATAATAATTTTCAGCAGAAATCTAGTCCCTGTTAAAAATGCAATATGACTTCTAAAAATGAAGTCTTGAGACAGTTTGAATCCACATAGCCCATGCCACCCAGAAATAACGTACATGTAAGACCTGAAACTATAAACTAGTAGAAGAAAACATTGGAAAAATGCTTCAGAACATTAATCTGAAAAAGGTTTTTTGAATAAGACCTCAAAAACATAGACAACACAAGCAAAAATAGACAAATGGAATTATATCAAGCTAAAACGCTTCTACACAGCAAAGGAAGAAATCAACAACATAAAGAGACAACTTACTGAATGGGAGAAAAATATTCATCTGACAAAGGATTAATAACCAGGATTTATAAGGAATCGAAACAACAATAGCCAAAAAAAAAAAAAAAACCAGCACAGTAATCTGATTTGAAAATTACAAGTGAACTGAATGGATATTTCTTAAAAGAAGAAGTATTAATGGCTGACAGGTATACGAAAGTGCTCAAAATCACTAATTATCAGGAAAATCCAAGTCAAATTTACAATGAAATATCATCTCATCCCAGGTTAAATGGCTATTATCAAAAAGACAGAAAATAACAGAAGCTGTGAAGAATTCAGAGAAAGGTGAATGATAGTACACTGTTGGTAGGAATGTAAATTAATACAGCTATCTTGGAAAACAATATGGTAGTTTCTCCAAAAAAAAAAAACAAAACTAAAAGTAAAACTATCATGTAATCCAGCAATCTCACTTCTGGGTATGTATTTCAAAAAAAAGAAAAATAATATATCGAAGAGGTATCTGCAATTCCATGTTTATTGCAGCACTACTTATAATAGCTAAAGTATAGAATCAACCTAAGTGTCCATCAGCAGATCAATAAATGTTTTAAAAGTATATATATACACTATACAGATATATATATTATATAGAGAAATACAGAGATATAGATATATTTATCTATATATAAATATAGATATCTCTCTATATATCTATATCTATATATCTATATATTATATATATATACAGAATATTATTCAGCCATAAAAAGAATAAAATCCTGTCATTTGCTGAAACATGGATGTAACTGGAGAACATCATGTTAAGTAAAATAAGCCAAGCACAGAAAGACAAGTATGCCATCCTCTCACTTACATGTGGGAGTTAAAAAAAGTGTATCTCATGGAGGTAGTAAGTAAAATGGTGGTTACTAGAGGCTGAATGGGGACAAAGAGAAGTTGGTTAGTGAGTACAAAAATATAGTCGGATGGAAAAAATAATTTTGAATTTTGGATAGCATAGTAAGGAAACTATAAGTACAAAGAATTTATTATATATCTTTAAAAATGTAGATGAGAAAATCTGAAATATTCCCAACAAAAAGAAATGATAAATATTTGAGATAAAAAATATCCAAATTACCCTGATTTGATCTTTACACATTGTATGCATGTATCAAAATATCACACGTACCCCCATAAATATCTGCAAAAGTTATGTATCGATAAAAATTAAAAAAAAGAAAGAGTTCTAGTTGGGATGATGAAAATGTAAGTTTGAGAATACCTTAGAGATTTTTCAAGTCACACGATATGCTGCCCTAGTCCTGCATTTAGCATATCCTTAAATGGAAGAATCAAGGGACTTCAGCTGAATATTAAAAAAAAAAAATCAACAAACAATAAAAAATACTTTTTATATGCCAGATCTTATCTATTTCCTGTAATATATATCAGTTTCCTTTGATTTACAATATGCTTGGTCTCAAGAGACAGTAATTATTTAGTAACAGAGAAACAAAGCATTTGGGGGTAAACAGAGAAGGGGTAAATTAGTTTTGTTTTGGGCAGAATGAGGTGGCTTCAGTGGAGAATGTAGCATTTGAAGGATAAAGATGGGTTTTTGGAGGTGGAAATACAAGTGAGAGTAACACTGTGGCAGGGAATAACAGGAGGGTTATGGGTATTAGAAATACAGTTTGTATCAATGTAGAGGTTTGGTGTTGCTGAAACTTTAAGTACTTGAATAGAATTGATAGATGATACATCTAGAAAAGTAGACTGCGTTGTTTGTAAAATGTTCAAAATGTTACTTCAGTATGTTAGGGCTTTTTAATAAAGACAGTGTAGAAAAACTAGTACTTTTTGAGGAATACATGGTCTTCAAAAATAGTTATGTTCAGCAGATTAATCTTATGGGGTTGGACTAAAGTAAGGAAACAATTCAGATTAATTTCAAAGAGAATAAAATACCTAGGAATCTAACTTACAAGGGATGTGAAGGACCTCTTTGAGGAGAATTACAAACCACTGCTCAACAAAATAAAAGAGGACACAAACAAATGGAAGAACATTCTATGCTCATGGATAGGAAGTACAATATTGTGAAAACGGCCATACTGCCCAAGGTAATTTATAGATTCACTGTCATCCCCATCAAGCTACCAATGACTTTATTCACAGAATTGGAAAAAACTACTTCAAAGTTCATATGGAACCAAAAAAGCCCGCATTGCCAAGACAATCCTAAGCCAAAAGAACAAAGTTGGAGGCATCACGCTACCTGACTTCAAACTATACTACAAGGCTACAGTAACAAAAACAGAAAGGTACTTGTACCAAAACAGAGATATAGACCAACAGAACATAATACAGCACTTGGAAATAATATCACACCCATCTGATTTTTGACAAACCTGACAAAAACAAGAAATGGGGAAAGGATTCCCTATTTAATAAATTGTGCTGGGAAAATTGGCTAGTCATATGTAGAAAGCTGAAACTGGATCCCTTCCTTACACCTTATACAAAAATTAATTCAAGATGGATTAAAGACTTAACTGTTAGAACTAAAACCATAAACACCCTAGAAGAAAACCTAGGCAATACCATTCAGGACATAGGCATGGGCAAGGACTTCATGACTAAAACACCAAAAGCAATGGCAACGAAAGCCAAAGTTGACAAATGGGACCTAATTAAACTAAAGAGCTTCTGCACAGCAAAGGAAACTACCATCAGAGTGAACAGGCAACCTAGAGAATGGGAGAACATTTTTGGAATCTACTCATCTGACAAAGGGCTAATATCCAGAATCTATAAAGAACTTAAACAAATTTACAAGAAAAAATCAAGCAAACCCATCAACAAGTGGGCAAAGGATATGAACAGACACTTCTCAAAAGAAGACATTTATGCAGCCAACAGACACATGAAAAAATGCTCATCATCACTGGCCATCAGAGAAATGCAAATCAAAACCACAATGAGATACCATCTCACACCAGTTAGAATGGCAATCATTAAAAAGTCAGGAAACAACTGGTGCTGGAGAAGATGTGGAGAAATAGGGATGCTTTTACACAGTTGGTGGGACTGTAAACTAGTTCAACCATTGTGGAAGACAGTGTGGCAATTCCTCAACGAACTAGAACTAGAAATACCGTTTGACCTAGCCATCCTATTACTGGGCATATACCCAGAGGATTATAAATCATGCTGCTATAAAGACACATGCACATGTATGTTTATTGTGGTACTATTCACAATAGCAAAGACTTGGAACCACGCCAAATGTCCAACAATGATAGACTGGATTAAGAAAATGTGGCACATATACACAATGGAATACTATGCAGCCATAAAAAAAGATGAGTTCATGTCCTTTGTAGGGACATAGAATAAGCTGGAAACCATCATTCTGAGCTATCTATCGCCAAGAACAGAAAACCTAACACCACATGTTCTCACTCATAGGTGGGAATTGAACAATGAGAACACTTGGACAGAGGGTGGGGAACATGACACACCAGGGCCTGTCGTGGGGTGGAGGGAGGGAAGAGGGATAGCATTAGGAGGTATACCTAATGTTAAATGACCAATTAATGGGTGCAGCACACCAACATGGCACATGTATACATATGTAACAAACATGTACTTTGTGCACATGTACCCTAGAAGTTAAAGTATACTAAAAAAAAAAGAAAATCAGAATCACAAAACCACCCATATCTACAGAATCAATATCTGCATTTTAACAAGATCCCTAGTTTATTAATTTGCACAGTAAAGTTTGAAAAGTACTGCTCAAGAAACCTCATGAGAATTCATATATTTATCTGTTTCTTTGAAGGCCGGCATAAAGAAGGTGCTCAATAAGTATTGATTAAATAAATGAATAAATGAATTTTACCCTTAAAAAAGTCTTTTACACTTTCCTTTAACTGGTTAAGACTGCTTGGACTAGGTCAGAATAGTATAAGTCAAAAGTGTATTCTGCACTACATTTTTTGTAATTTGAAGAAATTTCTTAACATGAAGGATGGACTGTGAGGATAAGAAATTATGACAGGAAATGAGGTAAGTGTATCCAAAAAATGGATTGATCTTGAGTACTGTTGATTTTGATGTGGGACATGTTCTCAGATGGCAAAATGAGAGCAAAATTCTAAAGTACAGCATTTCAAATCAGCCTCATATCCTTTCACAGTCATTCCCATATTATTCCTCTGTAAAAAGTTTAAATTTCAAAACTTATAAGCACTTGAGCTGAGAAAGTTATAAAAATATATGTTCAAAAAATAAATTCATGTCGAAAACTCTAAGCTCAAAACAGCTAACCTGCAGAAGCAAATTTTGATCTGTGCTTCAGGAGGCATTTATTGTTTTACATGTTCAAAGCTGAACCTAATTATCTTATAAATAACCATGCAAGCAATCATCAACTTAGGCCAACATTAGAGTGTTTGAAACTGATCAAACTGAAGTGAAAAAACATACTCATTGGCTTATTTTGCAAAGGTTAAAACTTTCCATTTTTATTTCAATTAGTGAGTTTTCAGTGTTTGTAAAATGTGTTACATCTATCAGTGCTGTTAATTTCGGCATGCTGATGATTTGCATTTAATTTTTATGAAGACTTTGCAAGTTGTGATGTGGATCAGACTAAGTATTATATACTTATTGTTGACTCTTAGCAATATGAATAAATTGTCTTGTCTCAGAGGTAGGGTCTCCATTTGGGCTGAAAAATAGTCCTATTTGACACTAACACACTGTTACACTAGGGCTTTTTAAAATATTTTACTACAACTAATAAGAAGTGCTATCCTTCACAATTATTGACATATTTATAAAAATTTATGTAGTGGGGAAAAATAGCTGAAGAATGAATTACTAATGCCAAAAATTTTCAGATGTTATTTGAAACATTTATAATTACATTTTGCTTGGTGTTCATATCATCTAGAATAACAAAATTGCTTTGAAAAGGAATAAAACACAATAAAGAACAAAAATGTAGGTTTGCACAAAACATTAAAGAAAATGAAAAGATAAAAGTAGAACTAACAAAGAATGGCAAACTATTTTTTTCTAAGTAATAGATGAAAGAGAATCACTGAGAGAGAATTCAATTTTTTGAGAACAGAAATGGCAACCTATCTGTACTAGGTCAGGATGTTGTAAATTGAAAGTGTAGTCTGCACTACATCTTTTATAGTTTGGAGAGATTCCTTACACAACTGGGTCTTCGGTTTCCTCCTATCTAAGATGAAAAATAAAACCTGTGCCATGAAACTCTGATTTATTTTGTCCTATAGGAGTGAAAAGAGGAAACATGTAAAATCAGTATATAAAATTTCAATAAAGTTTTACACTGTTAATTTCAACAACAGAGCTGTGGGAAAATATGGCAAAATAATCTTATAGATCACTTGATTTGTACTCAGCTTCCTTCAAATTGCTCATGATCTTAACATTTTGACAACATTGAAAAGCATAACTTAAGAGGGGAAATTGTAATTATCATTTATTCCATGTCTGTTATTACACAACATAGAAAATTATGCTCAAATATATGCAATGGTTGCCCACAGTTGCACAACTAATTGGTATGAAAACTTTAATGGTTGATGTTATGTGTCAATTTGACTATGTCTTTGGCAGCACAGATATTTGGTTAAATATTCTGAGTGTTTCTGTGAGGGTGTTTTTGTATAAGTTTAATGTTTAAACTGGTAGAATGGGTAAAGCAGATGGCCCTCCCTAACATAGTTGAGCCTTACCAAGTAGTCAAAGGCCTAGAATAAAAAAAAAGGAAGTAAGGGGAATTTCTTCTACCCATGGCCTGCAAACTAGGACATACAAATTTTTTCTGCCTTTGGATTCACACAGAAATATTGGTTCTTCCTGAGTTTCCAGCCTTCAAATTGGAACTATATCATTGGCTCTCCTTATTATCTCACCTTGCAGATTTTGGGACTTGTCAGTTTCCTTAATTGCATAAATCAATTTTTATAATAAGTATCTCTTTCTTTTTCTTCTCTCTCTCCACGCACACACATACACACACATCAATATATATACACAAACATACATACATGTATACATATAGTTAAGCTGAAAAGGTAAACTTATATACACTACAAAAAACTTCCCTCCTTTATTCCATGCTCTGGGACGTCTCTATGTGTCTTAACTTATTAAAGATTAAAGGCTCTGAAAAATCTGTAAGAATTAAGTCTTTTCGATGAAATTTAAACAAAAATTTTACAAGTCAACTTAACCATTGAATCACTTATTTCTAGAATATTATCACCTTTTAGTAGTGTATAAATTAATGTTTTCCTTAACAATAGGAACATGCTCTGAGAAATGTGTCCTCAGGCAATATCATCATTGTGTATACATCATACAGTGTGCTTACACAAACCTAGGTGATATAGCCTACTGTATACCTAGGCTCTAATGTGTAGGCTGTTGCTCCTAGGTTACAAACTTATACAACTTGTTACTGTACTAAATACTGTAGGCATTTGCAATACATATCGGTAAGTATTTGTGTGTCTAATCACAGAAATAGTAGAGTTAAAAACAGTATAAAAATATGAAACAGTATATCTGTATAAGGTAGCTGCATTATAATCCTATGGGATCACCATTGTAGATGTGGCCCTTAATTTAACAAAATGTCATTATGCTGTGCATGACTGTACTATAAATCATACTACTCCATGTGTGTTTTGAGAGACTGCAGCAAACCCATCACCTGGAAGCTAGTTAGAAATGTATGTCTTAGGTTCCATTGCAGGTCTACTCTATCAGAATCTTCATTTTAATAAGATCTCCAGTTGAGAAACATGGCTGATTCACTACATGTCTTCTTAAATACTAACTACTGTTTGTGTTAGCCTTGTTTTCCTTTGCTAAGCACCACCTATTGGGCTAGATGACTTCTGTAGCTTTTAATCTGCCCCCAAGACCGTAGTCTCTGTATTCTCTTACTTTAGGACGTA
The DNA here is from genome assembly GCF_000001405.40 of Homo sapiens. NCBI lineage: Eukaryota > Metazoa > Chordata > Mammalia > Primates > Hominidae > Homo > Homo sapiens. Next base: position 61,662 of record NW_003315936.1, on the reverse strand, counting down.
TAAATGCAAAGAAGGAATTTATACTCAGAATTTAAACTATTTTGTACTCCTCGAGGAAAAAGGAGATGTAGCTTCTGTACTTTTTCAACATACACAATCTCTAAACACATCTAAATACTTCTGTCACTTCAAGCACTGAAATTTTTGTAATCAAATGGCTTGAATATAAAATCTTATTTCTGTAGTTCTTACCTTATCTTCATGGAGTAACAATGTAAAAAGTAGTGTTTTTATTTACTTCATTTATTTAGTGAAGGTGGTAGAGAAGATATTTCACTTTGGGATATAGCATGGCAGAGATGTTCATGCCCAGTGCCTGCTGGGAGCTGCTGCATCTCTACCTTGAGTGGTTGAATAGGGTCTTTTCAGCAATATTTGCATGGTATAATTTGAGAACTTCTCATGGCTGCACCTTGACCTCCCGGAAATACGGTATACTATTTTATATACTCTTTAAATGTCTCTTGCTGTTTAGTGATACATTTTGACTGTGTCCCCACCCAAATCTCATCTTGAATTGTACCTCCCATAATCCCCATGTGTCATTAGAGGGACCTGGTGGGAGGTAATTGAATCATGAGGTAAATTTTTCCGATGCTGTTCTTTTGACAGAGAATGAGTCTCACGAGATCTGATAGTTTTATAAAGGGCAGTTCGCCTGCACACGCTCTTGCTTGCTGCCATGTAACATGTGCCTTTGCTCCCCCTCTGCCTTCCACCATGATTGTGAAGCCTCCCCAGCCATATGGAACTGTGAGTCAATTAAACCTCTTTTTATTGATAAAATTCCCAGTCTCGTGTATTTCTTCATAGTAATGTGAAAATAGAATGATACAATTAGTTAGTGTGGGATCTTTTTGTTTGCCAATGCAACACATATTTTTCCTAAATATTTTGAAAGTCAGTTAAAATTTTTCTTTAAGTGACGTATATAAGAGTTTCTATACATTAAAAGTTGGATGAGAACAGTGTTAGGCAAACAATAGAAGACATACAGGTAATTATGAATTAATCGATATTATTACTAGATTACGGAAATATTTTATTTTGAGCTGTATCAGCAAAACAGTGGAGAAGAAAGCCCTAAACTTACTTTCTCCCATAAATACACTGATGCAACAACAAATTATGAACAAATACCCTTTGTGAGAAATCCAGAAAAGGATTGAAAGGAAAAAACCTGCACCCCAGGAAAACACAAAACCAGACTTATTAAAGCCAGTAGAATGACTCAGGACAACTTCTATCCAGAATCCCTGCCATTGACATAGTACCATATAATTGAGAAGAGACTTTTAAGCTCCCAGGTTCCTAAGGGATGGAAACAGTTGACCCATGTGTCCAGAACCTCACCTCTTCTGCATGAGCTCCCCAGACTACTGGCTTCTGACTTGTCAGTCTTAGAACAACAACTTGATCAGCACAATAAAATTGCCTTGGAGAGAACAAAGACAATGTCTTGGGTTGGTAGTCACCATAGCTACTTCTGACTACTCAGCAGAGGAAATATTTCAGCAACCATCTTCTCCCTTGAAAGAGAAAGAGAGTTTCTGCATTTACAAGCCCTCAGCTTTTCTGAGGACCACCCAAAGAACTAGTTGCTGCACTGCTTGTCTCAAAGTGCTGATGACACTTGGAATAATCTAATCATTTGGAGGCTAATGAGAACAGGAACACAGATTTTAGCTTACAATTGACAGACCCTCTGCCCAGATCAATACAGAGTATGCAGATTTAAGGAAAAAAAAATAAACAGGAAAAACTAGCTCCCAGCTTCTCTCTAAAGAGTAAAAGTGATGAATGGAACATCCATTGGCCCAACTTTTGTAGCAGCCACAGAACTAGCTTCAGTATTACTTTCACTAGTGCAGTGAAAGGTTTGGCATACTTTAGATATCTAGGTGAGGTGCAAAAAGACAAAGTACATTGGACTAGGATGAAGGGTTGAGAGGCCTATAAAGTATCTGGCCAAGCTGATTGATCTTTTCCTTTAGAAAACCAGTCTCCAAAGATTGGGAGAGGAGGATGTTTTAGCTAATATTCAAACATCAGCACAGAGAGTAAAGGAAGAAGAAGAAATAGGCAAATATGCTCCAAACAAACGAATAAGATAAAGGTTCAGAAACTTAATGAAATGGATACAATTTATTTATTTGAAAATGATTCAAAATAAACATCATGAAGATGCTCACTAAGGTCTGGGAAACTATATATAAACAGAGTCTGAATTTAATGAAGGAGATAAAAAGTAGTATAAAAGTACCAAAAGAAATGCAACTGAAGATCAAAATAATTCAACTGAAAATTCACTAGAAATGTTCAACAACAAACTAGATCAAGTAGAAAAAAAATCGGTAACTCAAAGATATGTCACTAAAAATAATAAGAGGAGCAAAAATAGAGTGAAAAAAAGCTTAAAAGAATTAAAGAACATCATAAAGTAGATCAATCTATGCATAATGGAATTTATAGTAGGAGATAAGAGAAAGGACTAGAAAACATATACAAGGAAATAATAAACAAACATTTTCCAAATCTGGTGGAGGAAATGGAAATCCAGATGTTAGAAGCCTGAAGGGCACAAAATAAAATAAGCCTAAAGGAATCCCCACTGAGACACATTATAATCAAATTGTCAAAAATCAAAGAAAGAGAGATAATTTTGAAAGCCATAACAGAAAAACAACTTGCCACATATGAGAAAAGTCTTATTAGATTATTAGTGAATTTATAAAAGAAACCTTACAGGCCACAGGGAGTATATTCAAGATACTGAAAACATATTTTTTTAAAACTGCCAACCAACTTACCAATTATAATATACATAGCAAAACTGTTCTTCAAAAATGAAGACATAAAATCTCTTAAAAAATAAAGAATGATTTAAAAGTAATTTTATAAGGCCAGCATTTCCTTGATACTAAAGCCAGGCAAAAATATTCCAAGAAAATAATACTGTGGTTCAATACTCCTCATTAGTGTAGATGCAAAAATCTTCAGCAAAATACTAGCAAATTGAATCGAACAGCAGATTTTAAGGATTATGTACAATTACCAAGTGTGATTAAATCCTTGGGCACAAAGGTGGTTCAACTTCTAAAAATCAATCAATGAATGCATTACACTAGCAGAAAGAAAGTTAAAACTTGTATTATTATCTTAATAGATCAGAAGAAGCATTTGACAAAATTTAACACCATTTCATGATAAAAAAACTCTTAACAAGCTACGTATAGAAGGAAACTACTTTAAAAGAAGAACCATATATAAAAATCTCAAAGCTAACATCATAGTCTACGGTGAAAACCTGAATGCTTGTCTTCCAATATTAGAAGTAAAGCAAAGATTCTCACTCTTCCCACCTCTATTAAATGTAATCATGGAAGTTTTAGCTAGAGCAGTTAGGCAAGAAAAATAAACAATAAAAGGCAAATTGCAAAAGAAGAAGTAAAGTGCTTGCAGAAGACTTGATCTTACATATAGAAAACACTAAAAACTCCATTAAAAAGCAGATGTAACAAACAAATACAGCACATTTTTAGAGTATCAAATAAACATGCAAAAATCAATTACATTTCTATACACTAGCAACTATCTGAAAAGGGAATTTAAAAGATCTCATTTACAATAAAGCAAAAAAGAATTCAATACATAGAAATAAATTTAGCTAAGGAGATGAAATACTTGTGCATTGAAAACCACCAAACATTGATGAAGGTGATTAAATAACACAAAAACAAATTTAAAAATCTTTGTTCATAGATTGGAAAGAGTAACATTGTTAAACATGTCCATGTTCCCCAAAGTCATGTACAAATTCCTTGCAATTTCTATAAAAACATTAATGCCTTTTTAAAAAGGAAATAGAAAAACCAATTCTAAACTCATATGCAACCACAAAAAAAAAAACAAAACCAAATAATCAAATCATTCTTGGGAAAGAAGAACAGAGCTGGAGGCATCGGACTTACTAATATAAAAAAAATCTTAAAATCCATAGTGTTTACAACAGTCTAGTACTAGAGTGAGGACATATAGACTAATAGGACGTATACAGAGCCATTCATATACTTTCAGTTGTTCTACTACAAGGATACCAAGAACACACAATAGGAGAAGGAAACTGTTTTCAATAAGTAGTCCTATGAAAACTGGATATCCACATTCAAATGTATGAAACTGAACAGAAAAATAAACTCAAAATGGATCAAAGACTTACACCTTAGACATAAAACTGTAAAACTCCTTGAAGAAAAATATGGAAAATGCTTTCTGACATTGTGTTTTAATATAGGAGCTTTAAGATGAAGAGTATCCCTTAAATGATTAAGAGTGACACAAGATGGAAATAAAGATTTTATCACTTATAGATCTTGGAGAGTACATAGCATGCCCGAAGGCCAGACACATGGAGCTCAGGGAGCTCGGGCAGGAAGGAAGCATAGACTTGGGGCACTTGCCTTCATTAAGGTCCATAAGCGTCAGAGGAGCGGTGTGGCAATTGCACGGTTTATAGCAAGAAGGCATAAAATTTGAAACAAAGAACATGAAAAACCTTTACTGCAAGGAGGTTTATCTTCAAATCAGGCTGACCCTATGACTGGGTGTGTGGGTTTGGAGAGAGAGAGCAATCTGCCCTTTACTAGAGGAATTAATACTGGAACTCATTATCTCAGCTAGATAGCCAAACACAAACGATATTGCGGCAACGTATTTGCCAGAATTTTCAACCCATTTTGGTTTTTTCAATGATTTCATGAATATGATACCAAAGACACAGGCAAAAAAAAAGCAATGTATACAAGTGAGACTGCATCAAGCTATAAAGCTGCTGCATATCAAGAAAAAAATAAAAAGCATGAAGAAGTGACCTACAGAATGGGAAAAAATATTCGCAAAACATATCTGCTTATGGGTTAATTTCTAAAACGCGTAAAAAAATTCCTACAACTCTATTGCATACTAACTAATAACCAAATTTTAAAACATGGGTAAAGGAATTAAATAGACTTTTTTTTCACAGAAGATGTACAAATGATCAACAGGTATATAAAAATATACTCGACATCAATAATCATAAGAGAAATCCAAATCAAAACTGCAGTGAGAAAGCACTTTACATTGTCAGAATAGCTAATAATTTTTTTTTTTTTAAAGACAAGTGTTGGTAAAGATTTTGGAACCCTTACACACTGTTGATAGAAATGCAAAATGATGCATCCACTATGAAAAACAATATTGATGATCCTCAAATTACTAAAAATAGAACAATCCTGCTTCTTGGGATTTATTTAAAATAATTAAAAACAGAATCTCAAACAGATATTAGCATTACTGTGTTCACTTTAGCACTATTTCCATTAACCAATGTATGGAAAGAATCTAAAGGTCTGTTAACTGGTAAGTGGATTAAAAAATGTGTGTACACCTACAATGGAAGCGTGTTCAGCCTTTAAAAAGAAGAAATTTTGCAATATGCAGGAGCGTGGCTGCACCTTGAGGTCCTTATGTTAAGTGAAGTAAATCAGTCACAGAAACACAAATACTGTACAAGTCTACTTATATTAGGTATTGAAAATATTCAAATACATAGAATCAAAGACTGGATGGTGTTTGCCAGGGTCTGGATAGAAAAGAAAAATGAGGAGTAGCTATTTAATGAGTGTAGAGTGTCCATCATTAAATATGCGATACAATACTTTATTATATACTTAAAAGTTTGTTAAAGGGTAGATCTTATGAATTCTTACCAAAATTATAATAAACAATCTTTTGAGAATAACATTGACTTTTCCTTCAAAAAATTCCTACAAGGTTATCAAGATCTACAACAAATAAAAAATGTGTTTGGCAAGGTGTCTTAGTCTCCAAATTTTTCCCCATCATGATGCCTTTATATCCTGTAATAGCAAAGTAAAAAGTCTGGCATAATAAGTGACTGAGAGAAACAGCTTTCTCTCTGATGGTATATTTCCAATTTGCTGCCTGGGCAGTAGTTAATACAGCCATGACATTTAGTGAGTTAATGTAATTTAATGCCCAAGTGGCCTATTTGCTTTTCAAGAGATAGACAGAACAAAATATTTTCCCATTTAAATGACTCTAAAGCTTGCTTACCACCTAGCAAAGCTGTTCGTACAGAGTGCATGTGAGACTTCAGATCAGCAATGCCTTATCCATGTTGAGATACCTCAACTTTAAGTTTCAGAGTTTGAGAACAAATAGGCTTAGTAGGTGTGGGTCTATATATGCAACTTCAGAACATAAATCCATAGGATGCCACATTCTTGTCAGTATTGCCAGGTGGACAATTGTATGTGCTGGAGGGAAAGATGACTATGCTGAACGCAGGCTGTATGATTTTTTGAATCATTGTCTTTTTTTTCTACTTTTATTTTAGGTTCATAGTGAACATGTGGAGGTTTCCTACATGAGTAAATTGCATGTCTTTGGGGTTTGATGTGCAAATACTTTTCTCACACAGGTAGTGCGCACAGTACCCAGTAGATAGTTTTTTGACTCTCACTCTTCTCTCACCTTCCCCACTCAAGTAGGCCGTGGTGTCCATGTGTACTCAGTGTTCAGCCCCACTTACTAGTAAGAACATGTTTGGTATTTTGTTTTGTGTTCCTATGTTAATTTGCTTAGGTTAATGGCCTCCAGCTGCATCCATGATGCCGCGAAGGACATTACTTCAGTTTTTTATGGCTTCATATACTCCTGGGTGTACATGTACCATATTTTCTTTATCGAGTCCAACATTGATGAGTATCTAGGTTGATGCCATGTCTTTGCTATTGTGAATAGTGCTGCGATGAACTTAAAGTGCATGTGGGTTTTTTTTGTCTATTTGTTTGCTTGTTTTTGGTAGAATGTTTTATAGTCTTTCAAGCATATGCCCAGTAATGAGATTGCTGGGTTGGATGGTAGTTCTGTTTTTAGCTCTTTCAGAAATCTCCTAACTTCTTTTCCCACAGTAGCTTCACTAATCTGAATCCCCACCCGCAGTGTATAAATGTTCTTTTTTTCCCCACAAACTGGCCAACATCTTTTTTCTTACTTTTTATTAATAGCCATTCTGACTGATGTGAGATGGTATCTCAAGGTGGTTTTGATTTGTATTTCTCTTATGATTACTGATGTTGAGCAATTTTTCACATTCTTGTTGGCCACTTGTATATATTCTTTTGAGAAGGGTCTGTTTATGTCCTTTGACTATTTTTAAATAGGGTTGTTTTTTTCTTGTTGATTTGTCTATGTTCCTTGTATACTCTGAATATTAGATCTTTGTCAGAGGCATAGTTTGCAAATATTTTCTCCCATTCTGTAGGTTGTCTGTTTACTCTGTTGACAGTTTCTTTTGAAGTGCAGAATCTTTTTAGTTTAATTAGATGCCACTTGTCCATTTTTGGTTTTGTTGTAATTGCTTTTGGAGGTTTTGCCGTGAAATCTTTGCCAAAGCCTGTGTGCAGAATGGTATTCCTAGGTTTTCTTCTAGGGTTTTTACAGTTTTATGTATTATATTTCAGCCATTAATCCATCTTGAGTTGATTTTTGCATATGGTAAAATGAAGGTGTCCAGATGCAACCTTCTGCATATGGCTAGCCAGTTATCCCAGCACCATGTATTGAATAGAGAATTCTTTTCCCATTGCATTTTATTAATGACTTTGTTGAAGATTAGATAATTGTAGGCGTGTGGGATTATTTCTGAGCTCTCTGTTTTGTATCATTTGTTTATGTGTCTGCTTTTTTACCAGTATGATGCTGTTTTGGTTACTGTAGCCTTAAACAGTTTGAAGTCATGCAGTGTGATGCCTCTGGCTTTTTTTTTTAAATAGGATTTGCTTTAGCTATTTGAGCTCTTTTTCGGTTCTATATACATTTTAGAATAGCTTTTTCTGATTTTAAAAATTAAAAATTCCATTGCTTATTTGATAGGATAACAGGGGATCTGTAAATTATTTTGAGCAGTATGGCCATTTTAACATTGATTCTTTGTATTCATGAACATGAAATGTTTTTTCATTTGTTCTTGTTGTCTTTGATTTTTTTCAGGAGTGCTTTCTAATCTTCATTGTAGAGCTTTTTCTCCTCCCTATTAGCTGTATTCTTAGGTAGTTTATTTCTTTTTGTGGCTATTACAAATGGAATTGCATTCTTAATTTGGCTCTCAGCTTGGATGTTATTGGCACTACTGGCTTTTGTACATTGAATTTGTATCCTGAAATTTTACTGAAGTTTTAAAAAAATCAATTCCAGGAGACTTTGAGGAGAGAGTATGGGATTTTCTAGTTATAGAATCATATTGCATGCCATAAGAGATAGTTTGACTTCCTCTCTTCCTATTTGGTTACCTTTATTTATTTCTCTTGCCTGATTGCTCTGGCTAAGACTTCCAGTACTATGTTGAATACCAGTGGTAAGAGTGAGCATCCTTGTCTTCTTCCTGTTCTCAAGTCTCCTGATTAAGCTCTCTTCTACTATTTTCTTGGGTGTACAACTATTTTTTGATAGGAGGATCCTAATTGATATAGTAGTTGGCTCTGGGAGGTAATCTAAATAATAAATTTTAAAAATAGAAACCTGGGGTTGGGTTGATCATATTATTGATGAGGTCATTTGTATCTTTCCTACTAGATGAATTGAGTCCCTGATAAACCACAGTTTGTGGTGGCACTATGATTATACACATTTTCCCTGGGCATGGATAAAAAGTGGTGTGAGTAGAGGTCAAGGATCTGGGAAATGAGGAAATGGACATTAAGAGAAAAGTAGCATTGGGTGTGGCTTCTATTAAAAAAATAGAAAATGTGCACAACACAGAAGATAAATAAAATATTTACTATCCAACTCAAGACACAAGAGGAAAATAAAAACGTCTGTATAGGACGTTTTTAAAAGTCTCCTATTTTCTACAGGTACAGAGAAGATATATCTTGGTAGTCCAAAGGCCTGAATATAAAGGTGTTAGGATTGCAGAACCAATTAAGTGCTCACAATTTATAGTTATCGTATAAAAATACAGCAAAGGTGAGGAAAGAGTTGGCTACTGAGAAATAAAATGGGGCTTTGCATGACATGTTCTTTAACCTAATTTACGTAATGTTTAAATGTCACTTGTGAAACATATGACTTAACTATTTAAATTACAAGCACTATCTTCATCATACTCTCTCCTATATTGCTGACTTATTTACTTTATAGTATCTATCACTCTGAAGTATTACAGTTATTTATGTGTTCTCTTTTTTATTTCTTACCTTCCTCATCAAAATCTAAGCTCTGTGAAATCAAGAAATTTTTCATGTTGACTTCTGTATCTCCGACAGCTAAACCTGGCAATTAGTGTTATTGTTTTCTTGATAGGCATTTGAACACTTTAAGACTTTTCTCAGTTATGCATTTCTTTGGTCAAAGCATTAAATCTTCTCTGAACCTAGATTCTTCTCTATGAAATTGAGAAAAACTGTCTTCTTTTGATATCTATGTTGATACACTGACAGGGAATGAATAATAAACGTTTCACTTTATGTTTCTCAGCTATCTCAATGCCACTCATAAATACGCTGCCTTTTAATTAAACATTCAAAGATGTAGACTATTTATCCAATTTACTTCTCTTAGTAAGCAGGATGATTTTCACCATGGGTACCCAGGTATTAGGTGCTGGTGCTCCTTAGGGCAAGTGCTACTGTTATAAAATTTTTAATCACTGTTAAAATTGAGAGTGAACATTGTTGAAAATAGAGTTATTCTGTTCTCCCCAGTAAAACTCAAATCTGTAAATTTATAAATTTATAAATTTATAAATCTGAATTAAAAAAATTTGTTAGGAAATAACATTTTATGATTCACAGAGAACAGTTAATATTCTATTGTTTTGGGTATTTGGTGATTAAAAAAATTAGCAATGAGAATCAAGGCTAAAACAACTGCATACTTAATCACCTGCTGAGACAAATTACAACCTTATCTTAGATAACAATAATAATGATTGCATTAGTATAGCCAAGTAAATAGAATTGATTAGAATATGCTGTAAAGTCAAACTTATTTTGTGATATATGCAATTTGTAATCAGTGAAAACTGAAATGATATTTGATTATAGTTAAGAAAGGAGTTAGATATTTTGAAAATGGCAAGAAACACTTTTAAGTTTATAAATCAGAGCTTGAATCCTGGTAGCCTCATTTTCTAACCATGATAGTGGTTAGGAGGGACACTGAAGGTTATCTGAGATAATATTGCAAGAGAGTTGAGCATAAATTTTGACACAATAAATAGTAAAGTATAATGCCTTTTACAAAGACAAATGTTATTTTTAGATTATTTGACATTGGTGATGATTAATCTTCCCAGAATCTGCATGTAAAATATTGTTTAAAATAACGGCAGTAGAAATTTTCCCTTTCTAGTTTTCTTACTAGAAATGTTTTATGGTAACCTTATTATCAGGAAAACACAAACACATAGAAAAAAAAGACAAATACAAAGATAGCCTTTTGTATATGTCATAAATGCTTGGCTTCAGAGTAATTGCTTTAAGATAGGCTTATTGTTCCTGTGAGTAAAAACCTAAGCTATTACACATGGTCCTAAGGAAAATCATGATATTTGCTATGATGGTTAATTATGTGTGTCAAGTTGACTGGGCCAAACTGTACCCAGATAATTGGCCAAACATTACTCTGGGTGTTTTCATGAGGGTGTTTTTGATGAGAATAATATTGAAATCTGTAGACTGAGCAAAGTAGATTGACCTCTGTGTTAGGCTGTTCTTGCAGTGCTATAACGAAATACCTAAGATTAAGTAATTTGTAATTCGTAAAGAAAAGAGATTTAATTGGCTCATGGTTCTGCAGGCTGTACAGGAAGCATGGCATTATCATCTGCTTGGCTTCTGCTGAGGGCCTCAGGAGGCTTACAATCACAGCAAAATATTAAGGGGATGCAGGCATCTCACATGGCAAGAGCAGGAGCAAGAGATAGGGGAGGTGCCACACTTTACAATAACCTGATCTTATGAGAACTCACTCACTATCATTAGGACAGCACCAATCCATGAGGAATCCACCTTCATGACCCAAATAACTCCCACCAGGCCCCATCTCCAACATTGGGGATTGCATTTTAACATGAGAGTTGGATGAGGACAAATATCCAAACTATATAATCCTCTCTAATGTGGATGGGCCTTATCTGATCAGTTGAAGGTCTGAATAGAACATAAGGGTTGACCCTACCCTGAATAAGAAAATTCTTCCTGTTTGATGGTATTTGGCTGGGACATTGGCATTTTCCCACCATCGAATGCAAACTGAAGCAATGACTCTTCCTGGGTCTTGTGCCTCCAAGATCTTTCAACTGAAACAGCACCAACAGCTCTCATAGTTCTTAGGTCTTTGTATGCAAACTGGAGCTAAATTACCAGCTCTGCTTGGTCTCCAGCTTGCTGACTAACACTGCAGATTTTGGGACTTGCCAACCTCCACAATCATGTGAACCAATTCCTTATAATCAGTCGTTTTTAATATATCTGTATGTATGGTAAATACATTTGCCAACTTAGAAAATGAAATAATTGACACTTTGGCTTTCTAAGACTTGAGATCATCTTCATTGTTTTGCAATTAATAATAGTTGTAATAAGCCTACTGAAGATGTCTATCATGTATGTCTAATGTGCAAGTTTACATACATGATTTCCTTCAATTTCCATGATAATTTTATTAGAAGGTTGTTAACTACCTGCGTGGTAAAAATTAGGGGGCTGTTCAATAACCAGTGTTAGGGTATTGTGTCAATAAGAAGGTGGATCCATATTTAGGCTGTCTTATTTGAGAAAAAAAAAGTTTTTAGTATGCTATGCTTTTTTTCATGCTTTCTTGATTCTTAATAGTAATTTAGATGCAATCACAACTAATTAATCCATTTGTCTTTGGAATGAGGCCTTGTCAATTCTCTTTGCATGGTTCTGTGCACTTCTAGGAACACAGGTATTTCTCTCTAACCACATAGATCCAAGCAAGGAATTGACCATTCATTGCCTTCAGAAATACAAATATAATTGATTTGTCCTGTTCTATTACTCTTCTTTTTTTTTTTTTTTTTTTTTTTTTTTTTTTTTTTTTTTTTTTGAGATGGAGTCTTGCTTTCGGCTCACTGGAACCTCCTCTGCCTCCCGAGTTCAAGCGATTCTCCTGCCTCAGCCTCCCGAGTAGCTGGGATTACAGGCACATGCCACCACACCCAGCTAATTTTTTGTATTTTTAGTAGAGACGGGGTTTCACCATGTTAGCTAGGATGGCCTCCATCTCCTGACCTCGTGATCTGCCTTCTTCTGCCTCCCAAAGTGCTAGGTTTATAGGCCTGAGCCACTGTGTTCTGCCCACTCTTTATTTTTTAATCTGAAACTTCTCCCCTATATGACATAATATTCTTTGCCATAAAAATTTATTCAGTTGAGATCTATTTTCTATATTTTTTGTATTTTATGTCATGTGTTCTCATATTGAGTGCCACACAACAATTTTGATTTTAATACCATCAAAGAAAGTTAAGTCATGATTCTTTAAGATTTCTTCAATTATTCCTTGTCAAGTCAGGATGATAAGTCACTGTCAATGCTTTCAGTTGTAAAAATCAAGAGTATTATACTTTAGTTCAAGCAAAATTGAATTTTTTTCTGCCCTTTGTTTTATAAATGCCATTTTCAATTTAAAAAATACCCTGCAGCAAACATAAATCAGTGTTTACCCCTTTTGAATAATTTTCTTTCTGTTTTAATTTTTATTTCACCATTTTATTTACATTGAAAAAACAACCCTCTCTGAGACGCTATTTTGCCATAGAATACCCTTATCATGAAATGAAATAATCATCTATGATGTTTACAGTTTTAAAAGCAGTTTTACAAAATTTTTACTTACAATTCTTTCATACTCATTTATACATTCAGTAAACATTTATTGGGAACATAAGAAGTCTTTCCTTAAGTATCTCAAGCTAGTAGGAAAGACAAAGAGGTGAAAAGGGTAATTAAGAATCTAGTGTGATGAGTGCTATTAACCCTGAGACTGTAGTGGCCCATATGTGTGGTTTCTTACCCAGTTAAGAGTGGGACAAATGTAAGAAAATTCATGGGAGATATTACATCTGAATTGAAACTTGAAATGTGCCCATGCAGTACCTAAAGACAGATTCAGGGATAAATCCATTGGTAAAGTCATGGCGACAAGAAGATATTCAGACTAGAAGGGTAGTTAAAAATACAGCTTCTAGAGCTGGAAAGCACAGGTACATAAGTATTCAGTGGCTTCTTAGGAGTTGTACAACCTTGCCCCAGTTATTTACCTCTCTATAATGCAGTCCTCTCATCTATAAAATGGACACAATAATAGTATCCACTCCCGAGGATTTCTATAAGTATTTAATGTATCAGTATATGGAAAATAGAAATGGCCTGACACATAGTAAGCGCTCAGTAATGGTCATTATTATGTCTGGAGTAAGAGGACGTGTACAGTAGTTGAAAACATGAGACACCAAACAGTACAGATGTTGTCCCCTTTGCACACATAAAGTTGAGACTTAAAAAGTGATTTCTAATATTAGACAAACATTTTCTTTTTAAATTATTTATTATTAATTTCAGTTAAATTTTGGATTTATATTTTGTTCAAATGTAACAAAATAAACTTATTTTGAAACATAATTTTCTAATAGATAACTACTAGCCAAGTAGTACTATCATTGCAAAGAGTCACTTATAAATGGAATGCATGTCATCTTTCTAAAACTGTTTGGCAATGAAATCCAGAGCTGTTCAAATTTGGCTCAGCTCACTCACTCTAGCAGTTATAGGCTCCTTTACATAGTTTTGAGCATTATTAAAAATGTTATGCTAGCTTAACACTCCAGAAATCCTACCACTTACATATGAGAATTTCCAAGTAAAAGTCTTCATAGACAGGACTCAACTTCATAATAAACACACTTCCATTTAAAAATGAATGCTTCCTTCCACGTGGGATTCCAATACAACCTAGAAATGCTCCCCTTTGTTTTAGGTTTGTCACTAGTAGAAGATCACTTTTAATTAGAATAGTTATCATTTTATGCTTTACAAATTTATCTAATCTTGCTCTGTTTCCCATACATAACATAATTTAATTTGGTGATAAATTTTTTAATCTCAAAATACTTGAAATCAAATTGAATACATTTAAATATTGGAGCATCAGTTTCTTAAATCAACGTAAATCTGTGGAAAAAGATATTAATGCTAGGTTTTCAAGAATGTCTCAAAATTACTAGACTGGTACTAGCCATAATGAAGACTATGAATTAAAAATACAATTAGTTATTGTTCTTCAGTATAATGTAGAGGGTTTTCAAGTCTTCCTCTTTTGTGGTAGCTCTAAAATTTTTCATTCTATAGTTCAGAGAGAAATGAATGAATGTAGTTCAGAGAGAAATGAATAAATGTGAATATTCAATGTTGAAATACCTAACAAACTAATCTATCAGCAAAGTTGCACAAGAGGGAAATCACATGTGGGCACAAGGCAGCTATCCCAATTAGTCTCTACAAATGCACTGTTATGTCAGTCCCATCTAAGATGACTCTATCTCAGAGTGCATCAGCGCATGCTGGAAATGCTTGGGACTGAATCGCTCAGTTACAACTGCATTTATATTACTATTTGTTTAATTATTTATGTAATGTCCATGTATTTTAACTAGACATGTCCATGTATTTAATACATGTCCATGTATTTAACCTCATGGAGTTAGCATGAGGTTAGCAGTCAGATTTATCTACTCATCTTCAGTGTTTAATAGGTGCCTGACTCATAATAGGATTACAATAAGCATTTTTGTGAGGACAAATAGATGAATGGATGAATGACTTCATTCAGCCACTCTTCAACAGTTCTCAATCCCCTCTTCTTCAAGGTATAAGAACATATTCATCGCCTGAGTTTTTTTGCTCAGTTTCCCTTATGTCTTTCAAAGCACCCTGCAAAATCAACTATCTACAAATTCTACCATTTGCTTCCATTTACCTCAACTTTTCTTTTTGTTCTCTGTGCATCTTTTCTTACTATTCTTGCTAAAGATTCCTAAATTATATGAGAGACAGGTAAAATAACTGGAACATAAGGTATTCCAGAATGTATTATAAAGATAAATATTTCAGAAGGGTTTTCTGTTTTTTCACAAGATTAGTATGCTATGGTTTGGAAAATTTCCTGACAGTTGTAGATGAAGGCTGCAGCCCAAGAGATGGGCTTTGGATCATAATAATCCTTATCTACCATTGAAAATTCATTCATTAAGTTTGGATCCTTTAATACTGTTGTAAGTACAAAGTGTATACATCACCTCACCTTGAAAGGCAAACCAAATGAATTGCTAGGCATTGTGGTGAACCCACATGAATTCTTCATTGTTCATTGAAAACAAAGGGCACAGATGTTTTAAGTGCACGCACAGAATGGGATTTTAGAGCATAAAAATGAAAGAGACAGAGTCATTATTCAAAAACACTATTGTCCCAGGTAATACCAAAGCTAAAGAGTGCCTCTGAAAAACACGAGTAGTTGGCTGGGGTAGGTAATGGTCACTGTTTCTCTCTCAGGTTTTTTCTTTTATGCTAGAAGCTGAAACATCTAGCCCTGTCAAAGATGTCATCAATCCTTCTATGAATAAATTCATACTCTTTAGAGGGAAATGAATACAATTCATTTATATATATATATTCATGTATATGTATTCATATATATTCATATATACATTCACATATATATTCATATATACATTCACATATATATTCATATATATACATATATATTCACACATATATTCATATATATTCACATATATATTTTTATATATTCACATATATATTTTTATATATATTCACATATATATATTCACATATATATTTTTATATATATTCACATATATATATTCACATATATATTTTTATATATATTCACATATATATATTCACATATATATATATTCACATATATATTCACATATATATATTCACATATATATTCACATATATATTCATAAATATATTCACATATATATTTCTATATATTCACATATATATTCATATATATATTCACATATATATTTATATATATATTCACATATATATTTATATATATTCACATATATATTTATATATATATTCACATATATATTTATATATATATTCACATATATATTTATATATATTCACATATATATTTTTATATATATTCACATATATATTTTTATATATATTCACATATATATTTTTATATATTCACATATATATTTTTATATATTCACATATATATTTTTATATATTCACATATATATTTATATATATATTCACATATATATATATGAAGCACCTAAATATATTTAAAATAGGCAATTTCTGTGCTTGAAAATGAGAAAAAATATGCCAAAACTTACAAGACATAAAGTTGCCTTTTGTTGTCACTCTACATTAAGATCATGCTTAGTCTTAGGATTT
This sequence comes from Homo sapiens, assembly GCF_000001405.40. Taxonomy (NCBI): domain Eukaryota; kingdom Metazoa; phylum Chordata; class Mammalia; order Primates; family Hominidae; genus Homo; species Homo sapiens. The sequence goes on along the minus strand of NW_003315936.1, from coordinate 45,118 downwards.
ATGTAGCTACTTATGTCAGAAGACAGTTTATTATTTTTCTTTGAATGATTTCATGCAAGTTCTGCCACAATATTAGAATTTTTTTTTCAACACAAGGCTTCTGTGGCTAATGCTAGACAACCGCCGAATATTTTTTCTTCTTTTCCTGAACTAGACAGGGCGATCCATCCTCAATGAAGGAGCATACTTGGGTTGGAAGTTAATGGGTTTTGGTTTTCTGAGATATTTATCTGGGCAATTGCTTTCATTTTATTATTAGTGTAAACAAATTATGGGAGTATTGGATGGCATGTTTGTTGTTACCTCTACACTTTCAGAAGCTTTTTCTTAGTTCATTTCTTGGTATTAATTATATTACTATTTACAGACAAACCATTGCATCATTTGTTAAGCTGACATATTTTTCTAAATTCCTCTAGCAATATTTCCATCATTTTTGGGTATGATTTTACCCTGGGAATGGAAATGCAACTGGCTTGACAGAATGACCAATATTTTGGGCCATAACACACAGCCTAATGTGAACATTTCTTTTTACTTTTATACAGTGAGACACAGGGAAAGAGAAGGAAAGAAAGAAAGGGAAGAGGAGGGAAGGGGATGGGAGGGGAAGGGATGGAAGGGGAGGGAATAAGAAAGGAAGAAAGGGGAGGGGAGGGGAGGGGAGGGGAGGGGAGGGGAGGGGAGGGGAGGGGAGGGGAGGGGAGGGGAGGGGAGGGAAGGGAAGGGAAGGGAAGGGAAGGGAAGGGAAATTTTTCTTTAGATCCTTTAAATTCTCCTGAGGCTTTTTTTGATAATATGAATGGCATTAGCTTGAGCAGTCCACTATTGTTTAAAATGTATTCTGTCCTAATTCCATTCCTTATGATTAACGACACTAAATACTGAAATAGAGATATTTAGAATCAAACCTTCAAACTAGTTCTTGGCTAATTTCTGAATGTAACGGCCAAGTAAAATTCATGAAGTAAAAGTCTTGATTGAGATGAGGGAGTTTGCTGTATGAGTATTCAAGAGCAGGCTTTACAGGCAGAGTAAAGCACCTGGAAGGATGCTGCTCATGCCTCATATGTTCAAAGAAAATCAAAGAATATTATACCACTGGAGGACAATAAAAGAAGAGAAAAATTTTGGAGTGATCAGCAATATAAAGTCTTATCGACCACTGAAATGGCATTGACAATGCATCTATTCCATTCTCTGAGCATTTAAAGTCCTTGTTGACGACATCTCTTAATTTAAGTGGTAGGCCTAATGATTTTCCTCCACCCATCCTATCTCAAAGGTGAGAAGAAGGACACATAGGTGACTCAATAATGATGCAGGTTTTAGGTGGTAAAAGTTATCTCCTACTTGTAGTTCATCGACTTGTCTCTCCTGTGGCTAATACACTGGGGTTACGTGGCTGAATTAGTCTGCCCTCATACTGCTACGAAGAAATACCTAAGACTGGGTAATTTGTGAAGAAAATAGGTTATTTGACTCACAGTTCCACATGGCTGAGGGGCCTTAGGACATTTACAATCATGCCAGAAGGCACTTCTTCAAGGGGCGGCAGGAGAGAGAATGAGTGCCAGCAGGGAAAATGTGAGATGCTTATAAAACTATCTAATTTCGTGAGAACTCACTCTCAGGAGAACAGCATGGGGGCAACCACCCCCAGGATTCATTTACCTCCACACAGTCCCACCCTTGACACATGGGGATTATTACAATCCCAAGTGATATTTGGGTGGGGACACAGAGCCAAACCATATCAGTGGCTGTACTTAAAAAGAATAATTTTTCAGTAGTAATTACATGTATTTTCATGATCAAAATGAAACAATTATTAGATTGTCTTGTGACATTTGCTCAGATGAAAGGAGTAATAAATAAATAGAAGTGAAAATAATGAGACAAAGGAAACTCAGAGCAAACCTTCAATTAGAGTGGGTGTTTCTTCATTTCAGGAACAGAGATCTTCCAACACATTAAGCGTCTGCCTTCCTAATTTTGACCCTAATGTCCTGTCTCTCAATTCAGTGGTCTTTCAGTGATTTATCACATAATGATTTCTTAAAATCAGTATGTGTTGGATGCTATCTTAGGCACTGGCACTATAAAAAATGAATCAGACATAATCTCAAAAAAAAACTCACGTTTACTCACGTGTAAGTGCACGTTGTAGCAACAGTGGGACAAGGACATTTTTAATCTTTTTCTGTAGCTGCTCTCATTCTATTTTCTGAATTTGATAAAGAAAAAGCATGTTGTTATTGTTTTGTTCCAAGATGGCAGATAAGAGGCTTTTAGCATACCTCAGCCACTTGGAAATAGCAAGATGGTGCACAAAGATCAACTCTGTGGGTTTTAATTCAAGAAGGAAAATAGGAGTCTACCAAAATTGTGAAGGATATTCCAGATTCCAGGGAGCAAAACATGAGCAAACAGTCCCTGTGACAGTATCTGGTTGATAAAAGTGAGTGAAGCCCCAGTACATAAGAGCACAAGGATTCTGCTCATAAAAATTTGAACGTAGTGGCACCACAAAAGGATTACACTAGCTCTCCAGCAAAGATCTCTAACAAAAATGGAAACTCAGAGATGACAGATAAGGGATTCAAAGCATGGATTGTAAGGAAGCTCCACAGGATCCAACACAAGGTTGCAAATCAACACAAAGAAACTTCCAAAGCAATCCAGAAAATGAAGAGATAAACATCTTTTATTTTTCTCTGATTTATTCTCTTTTTTCATTTCAATAGTTTTTGGAGTACAGGTGATTTTTGGTTACATAGATGTGTTCTTTAGTAGTGATTTCTGAGATTTTGGTGTACCCATAACTAAACATATTCTTGGACTATAATGGAATAAATAGGAATTAATACCAATAAGATATCTCAAAATTACACAAATACATGAAGATTAAACAACTTGACCTGAATGACTTTGGGGTAGACAACAAAATTAAGGTAGAAATAAAAAAATCTTTGACACAAAAGAAAACAGAAACACAACATACCAAAATCTAAAAGAGGCAGCAAAAGCAGTCTTATGAGAAAAGTTTATAGCACTAAATGCCTACCTCAAAACTTTAAAATGATCTCAAACTAATGGGAAACTAAATTAACTACGGGAACTAAAAAAACAAGAACAAACTAACCCCAAAGCTAGCAGAAGAAAAAAAATAATAACAAACATCATAGCAGAACTGGATTTTGAATAAATTTCTATGGAGGTGATAGTAAGGGAAAATGGCAAGTAGGAGGTAAGACTAACTGCAGCTCCCACTTGGACAAACAGAATAGTGCGTGGAGACCCACATCGTGAACTTTTGCTCCAAAAAATTCTGCAGGAACATACCAGGAAAGCTGAGAAAATCCACAGACCCTTTGAAGGAGGTGTATTGCCACAACCTTTGTGGGACAGCCAAGGAACTGTGAGTCAGCTTGCTTTCTTGGCTCAGAAGCTTGTAGCCTGGGGCACATTCTCAGCCCTGCTCACCTGCTGCCTGAAAATAAACTTGGTGATATTGTGGGGTCATGGTGGAAGGGAGACCAGACTTTTGGGCTATGGAATGCATGAAAGCAGTGGCTGCTGGCTTTCCACCACTTCCCTGGTGATCTGTGTGACACAGAAGAGACAGCCATAATCTCCCTGGAAACATAATTCCGTTGGCCTGGGAACAAAACCCCATACCACACAGCAGCTCCAACAAGCCCCACCCAAGGTGAGTCTGAGCTCAGACACACCTAACTTTGCCCTCAACTGATGGTCTTTCTCTGTCTACCCTGGTAGCTGAAGACAGAGGACATAATTTCAGGAGATCTGTAGCCCCACACACCATCTGATTGTCTGGAGATCAAACCTCAATTCCTTAGAATGGAAGCCAAGGCCCTTAGTAACAGCTCCATTCAGCCTGTCTGTCTCTTACACTGTGACTTAAGTTAGTCTAAATTCCATAAATATACTATCATCAATTTGTTTCCAATATCATTTACTGACTACCTACGATATGCCCCTGTGTTTAATTATAGAAAGACAAAAATAAATAAGATAATACCCCTGCTTTCAATGAACTACAACCTAATGGAAATGGAGTTGTTAGGGAGTAGTAAAGATGGTGGTAGAAACATAAGCACACAATATCAAAATATCACATGTGGAAAGCCTGGATAAATATTTGTATATTTTACCAGCTCAGAGTAGACAAATGGTGTTAGTCCTACCTAGAGCCATAGAAAAGGCACGGTTTAGTTGACAACACCTGGTCTGAATCTTTGAAAGTTATTAGATTAAGTGTATGATATGAACAAAGGCATGGAAGTATGGGATGTTTCCATATTCTTTAATATTTCAGTATTTTTGAAAGAATTGCTTCAATTTCCTGGGGAGTCTCTGAAAATCTACTTATATTTCCAAATGTAGGTCAAATATTCCTCCTTCTGTGATATCTGAACTCAAAATAAACAAATAATAGAACATTAATCAAATAGAATGCCTTACTTGGAGGTTTATTGCTTATTAGAATAAGAAATCTAGAATATATAAAGGAAAAGCCAGGCCGATATAACTATTAAAATTTTACATATTCATTTGGCAAAAAATAAATATAGTAAATAGATAAATAATAAGCCTGGAAAAATTTATATTCTTGTTGATAGAAAAAGGGTTATTTGCAATCATACAAAAAGAACACCAATATTAAGAAGAGAAAACAGATGGCTCAGTTGAAAAGTGGGAAAAGAATATGGGAAGATTATTCAAAGAAAAGTTCAACATCCAAAAGCCACATTAAAAGTAGATGGGAATATGACAGTTAAAATGAAAACAAGGTAAAATACTTTATTAATTCTGGTAAAATCAAAAGAACCTTAAATTGTGATTACTGTTAGAGATGGAGATAAAATAATACTCTCATACATTATAGAAATATTTGAAAATATAATAGCTAATAATAATTTAAAAAAACAGAAAATAAGCCAAAATAGAATAATTTTAGTTTAGGTCAGAGGCTGTTAAAATTTGATTAGCTGAAAAGAGAAATAATTCAAACTGTATTTTTAAATATACAATTTTATGTATATCTCATGTATCTGGTCCTTTTAAACTTTAAATATAAATGTGATAGAAAATTTAATTCTGGCTATTATGAAATATGTAGATAAGAAAAAACATGATATATAAATCAACTAGTAAAGAATATTCTAAAATATAAAAAATAACAAGATAATAATGCTATCGTCAGAATTTCAAAGAACGCATATGCTAGGTTTTCTTCCCTATTGCGGACATCAAATAGACATAGATTTAAAGAAATATTCATTCACATATGCAAATATACACACACACAAACACACATACACACACTCTTTAACTAAAAAAAAGCAAGCTGTATCAGATTAAAAATATATGAAATACAATCAGATAAATTTTAATTATGTGACTGCCGTAATTCTGAAAAACAAAAAAATCGGAGAAATAGCAGAACTAATAACTGATGTTCTATTGTTGTGACCATGTGTATTTTCAGAAGGAAGCAATTTTTCTAGGGAATACTATTATAAAAAATAAGTAAATATAATACTGTTTTTTTATGGTAATTTGTATTTGTTTTTCAATTATCTTTACACTTCTGGTCATAAACTAGACTACAAACAGGTACTCTTAATAAACATGTGATAACAATCGGATTGGTGACTTTTCAAGCAAATGCTTGAGAAGTCACATAAGTGTAAAAATAGAGTTATAAATAGCCCTTAGTTCTGAAAAATATAATGTGGATGTGGATACCCCAGAAAGGACCACTGTATAAAATAGGTAATACTGGAAAGTCTTCAGTCAAGCATTGGACTTTTACTCAAGCCGCAACCCAAATATCATGACAATTTTTTTTTTTTGGCTTTGGATATAAGGGGAAGCTAGCTTATGCTACTCTTCTGGTTGATTTCATTGTGTACAATATTTCTTCAAATATTTTTCAGCATTGCATTTTTGATGAACCACTAGTTTAATACTGGCTTTGTGAAAAAAAGGAATAATTGTACATCACACAAATGTATTGATTAGATGATATCTTGACTTTCAAAAATTATAATATAAGAACATGTATTTCTTTAATAGAATAATTCCCTTTTGAGCAAGTTAAGCATAGCAACCATATGGGAAATTCAATTATGAACGTAGGGAAACTAAACCTCATTTCCCGTAAGTGCCTTATCTAGATGGTTCTGAGATGCATATTTGTTAAGTTCAGCTCTACATGTCCTGCTGTAATAGCTATTTGAGCAGATGACGTTGCTCCATACGTTTATTGTTACCTTTAAATTGTCATTTTTATGAGTAATTACTGCGTTCCAGATATATTGTTCTAGGTGTGATGATGCAGTAATGGACAAAACTGATAAACATACTCTGATGAATTTTTGATTCTAGTAGTGAGAAACGTAATAGACATGTAGACTAACTTTCAATGGTAATAAGTGTCACTGAATATAAGCAAATATAACTGTGAATTAATGGAGGGTTTCTGAAAGGAGATGGAGAAAATGTACGCTTTATCAGATGACCAGAGCTCCAGGAAGACTTCTACATGCCCAAATACAGTCTTGAGCTAAGATATAGAACACAGAGAAGTCATCCATGTGAAAACCTAGAAGAAGAAGATCAGTACTGATAAGAGCAAATAGGGAAAAATTCACTGAGATCAGAGAGTGTTGGGCATGTTTGAATAAAAAGATAAAAGGTCAGTGTGATTTGGCTCTGGGGACAGGATGATATAATTTCTCACTGTACAAAATGTATAAAAATATTTTTTGAAGAACACATTTTTATATAATCAAGAGATAAACATTGGTAGCATTTTGCCATGTTAACTTTCAGCTTCTGCCTTGATATCTTATTTGTTAGATATTTAGGGAGTCCAAGTGTCATTTTTTACATGGACATATTACATAGTGCTAAAGACTGGGTGTTTGGTATAGCCAGCATCCGAATAGTGCACAGTGTAGCCATTAAGTAATTCCTCATCCCTCACCCTTCTCCCCTGCTTCTACTCTTCTGAGTTTCCACTGTCTATTATTCCATTCTCTATGACCATGTGTACCTGTTTTTCAGTTCCCACTTATAAAATTAAACATGTAGTATTTTACTTTTTGTTTTTGAGTTATTACACTTAAGATAATGGCCTCCAGTATTATCCATGTTGCTACAAAATACATATTTTTAATGGCTAAATAGTGTTCTATTGTATATATCTACCACATTTTTAAATCTAATTATCTTTTAATGGACACAGATTCCATATCTTTGCTATTGTGAATAGTGCTATTAGTGGGATTGCTGGATTGAATAGTAGTTCTACTTTAGTTATTTGAGAAATCTCTATACTGTTTTCCATAGAGGTTGTAATAATGCATATTCCCACCAATAGTGTGTAAGTGTTTTCTCTGCATTCTCGCCCACATCTGTTTTTTATTGAATTTTTAATATTAGCCATTCTGAGTGACATAAGATGGTATCTCATTATCACACTGTGGCTTCAATCTGCATTTCTCTGATGATTAATGATGTTGAGATTTCTTTTCACATGTTTAATGGCCATTTATTTGTCTTCTTTTGTAAAATGTCTGTTCATGTCCTTTGCCCACTTTTTAATAGGGTTTTTTATTTTTTGTTGTTGAGTTGTTTGAAATCCTTGTAGTTCTTGGTATTATTCCTTTGTTGGATGCAGTTTGCAAATATTTTCTCCCATTCTACATATATGTGTTCACTCTGTTGTTTATTTTTTTGGCTGTGAAGAAGAATTTTAGTTTAAGTCCCATTTGTCTATTTTTGTTCTTGTTTCATTTGTTTTTGAGATCTTATTAATAAATTCTTTGCTTAGGGCATTCAGAATCATTTTTTTCTAGGTTTTCCTCTAGTATTTTTACAGTTTCAGGTCCTATATTTAAGTCTTTAATCAATCTTGAGTTCATTTTCATGTGTGGTAAGAGATAGGGGTCCAGTTTTATTCTGCATCTGGCTATCCAATATTTCAGCAGTATTTATTGAATAAGATGTCTTTCCTCAGTGTATGTTTTTGTTGCCTTTGTCAAAGATCAGTTGGCTGTAGATATATGGTTTTATCTTTGTGTTCTCTATTGTGTTCCCTTATAAAACTGAATGCCTTTAATAGCACCCAAGTCACATCTTGAATGCTTTGCTGCTTAGAAACTTCTTCTACCAGATACCCTAAATCAATTCTCTAAAGTTCAAAGTTTCACAAATATCTAGGGCGGGAACAAAGTGCCACCAGTCTCTTTGCTAAAACATAACAAGGGTTATTTTTGCTCCTGCTCCCAACAAATTCCTCATCTCCATCTGAGACCACCTCAGCCTGGACCTTATTGTTCATATCACTATCAGCATTTTCATCAAAGCCATGCAACAAGTGTCTAGAAAGTTCCAAACTTTCCTACATTTTTCTGTCTTCTTATGAGCCCTCCAAACTGTTCCAATCTCTGCCTGTTACCCGTCTCCAAAGTTGCTTCCACATTTTCTGGTATCCTTTCAGCAACACCCCACTCCTGGTACTAATGTACTGTATTAGTCCAGTTTAACTCTGCTGATAAAGACATACCCAAGACTGAGCAATTTATAAAAGAAAGAGGTTTAATGGACTTACAGTTCCACATGGCTGAGAGGCCTCATAATCATGGTGGAAGGCAAGGAGGAGCAAGGCATATCTTATAGGCAGGAGGCAAAGAAAGAGCTTTGCAGGGAAACTCCTATTTTTAAAACCATCAGATCTTGTGAGACTCATTTAGTATTACAAGAACAGTGCAGGAAAGACCCACACCCATAATTCAGTCACCTCCTATTGGGTTCCTCCCATGACACATGGGAATTGTGGGAGTCACAATTCAAATGAGATTTGAATGGGGGCACAGGCAAACCGTATCACATAGTCTGTAATATAATCACATGGAAACATGGCAAGGATGAATAGAAAGTGTGTAGTTCTGTAAGTGAGCATGTGGCCATGCCAAAGAAAGTTGAAGTTTTGTTAATAACATTCTAATTATCAATATATCTTTTATATATAAACACATACATCTGTATAAATGTGTGAATATCTGTGCATATGTATTTACATTTTTCTATCCATCTATTCATCTACCTATGCCTATCTGTACATTCATTCATTCCAAGGAGAGTGTATATACTATGTCATATATATTTATACTAAATATATAAAACATAATATTTAAATAAGCATTTTTTTATGAGTTTTATATTAGTGCTTTGACAAAGTAGCACAAATGTAATGGCTTAAAATAATGTAAGTTTATTATAGAAAATTTATTGAAATCAGAAATCTAAAACGAGTCTTACAGAATTCAAATTAAGTTGTCAGCAGGGCTGCATTGCTTCTGGAGGCTTCTGAGGAAAATCTATTTTCTTGCCATTTCTAGGTTTAGAGGGCATCTGCATTACTCTGCTTATAGCCCCATCTTACATTTTCAAAACTAGCAATGTACCACTGTTAACTTTTTCTCTCTCTGTCTCTCTCTGACCTCTGCTTCTGTAATCATATCTCAACTGACTCTGACCCTCCTGCCTCTGTCTTATATGAACCCTTGTGATTATATTGAACTTATCCAGATAACTCAGGTAATACATGTCTACATTATGTTTAGAATTGTGCATTTTATTCTGATAGTAATAGAAATCCATTATGGTATTTAAGCTAATTACTTTCAAAATATGTACTTTTTATTAATATATCTCTGCATGCTGCATTTAAATGTAGTTTACCACTTTGACAATGTGTCTATCGTGATAACTTAAAGTTCTATACATAGAGAGGATAATTCTCCTATAAATTTATCCTTAAAAAGCAACACATACGCAATTTTAAAAAATATTATTGAAATTTATATGAATCCGTCTTCCTTCAAATGTTAATTTTAATCATGAAATTTCGGACAAATAAAAATGTATGACAACAAAAAATTCTTAATAATATGATACATTAAAATGCTTAATTATACAACCATTACAGGTATTTTTCGAGAACAAAGTATCTGGGGTTGATATGTGCAGCAAACCACCATGACACATGTTTACTTAAGTAACAAACCTACATGTCCTGCACATGTATCCTGGAACTTACGATAAAAGAAATTTTTTTAAAAACTAAATAAATAGAAATCTGGAAAATTTTATGAATCAGAATTACAAAAGAAAATCAAATTGCAATACTAAACATGTTTGTGTGTGAATTCATATTCTGAGTACATTTATGTTGGGGCATATACATATAAACATATATGCCTTTCTCTCTCTCTCAAAAAAAATATATAGGAGATATGTACATATATCTCATTCTCTCCTTGCATTGTGTTTAGCGATGTTTGACCTCCAGTGGACTAGCCTACTGTTAAGATTGTTTCCAGAATTTGTTAGAATCATTAACTAACCTTCCAAATGTAGGTATAATCGCATAGTCAAAGTAAATTGAACATTAAGGCAATCATCCAGAAAACACAGACAAATGATAAGAGCAGATGAAATATTTCGGACACTAAATGTTGATTACCTGAAGTACCTCATTCTGTAACTAGCAATTTTAGAATTGACTGACAAGAAGTAATTTTGAGAGTACCCATGTATCCTTGGAAAATCAGAATAACTGAGTTTGGGCCTCACTTACTTGGTATCTGTGGAAAATCTTTTCCCTCCCTGGCCCTCCATCTTTTTATCTGTGTAGTAAGAGGTTGCATCTGCTGTTTTTCGTACTTTTCTAAAATACTATGAGCCTCACACTAAGGAAAGGACTTTTTGATACTACAGTACATATCCACAGAGAGCAACTGTCCTCAGAATATACACCACCTCCACCACTACCACTATTTAAAGCAACTTAAATTCAAGGAAACAAAACACTACATTACAGGAGCTACTTTTCTCCCAGGAATCAAGCTTTATTCCCTAAAATATTTCTAACAGAGAACTCATTTTTATCCTCCTATTGATGGCACACAGTATTTTATGCAAGTTTTATATATGGGGAATAATGAGACCCAGAAATATTAAGCCACTTGTAAGAATCCACACCAACTGGGAGATGGTGAAGTTGAGATTTGAAGTTGGTTCTTCATGACTACAATAGACTGAAAGTTTAGATCATCTGGAAGGATAACTGAGTTCTTATAACATCCATCTCCACTCATCCTCGAAAATCATCACAAGCAAAAGGTGTCAGGACACACACTTATTAATACTCAGAACTATTTTTTCCAACTATACAAAAATGTATTAAAAGTGCCGATTTGCCAGGCCAGGTGACAGAAGAAACACCTTCATCCATATTAGCTAGAAGACAAAAATTTCCTGCATAGGTGGAGATAGTTCCAAAGTATTAAGTACCATGAGTTGGCCTCAATGCAGGCCTTTACAGGGGGTGTTGAATCAACCAAACTAGGAAACATAACCAGGGGGACATAACTCACCCACTCCTTCAGAATATTTATTCTGCATTTGCCTTCTATTATATTGTCTTCTACTTAATTCAAGAGAAAGAGGGCATTTAATTTTAGCCAAATAAAAATTATACTGCACACTAGTCAACTCTTAGGCATTCCTAATCCAGATATGTTATTTATTAATTCTCACATAAGTATTAGTCATTTTTGCTCTCACGATCTAGAAAAACAAGGAGAAATTATAAATGGATGGTTTATAATATTCTTAACAGCTCAATGTCTCTCTTTATCGTTCTTATAGCATAATTCCAAAATTCTGCTCCTTTTTTATGTCTCATCCTTATTTTCTTCTCTCTTAATTCATGTTTTCCTGTAAACAGTGCGATCAATTACACTCTAAAGCCAAATTCTATATTACTTATATTATGAAGTTCAGGAGAATTATTTTCTGTCTATTTAAAAGGAATGTTTCAAGGGAATCATTGCATGTTTATATCCTTGACTTTGCCTTTTAAATGTTCATTTATCATGCTTTTTTTCTTTAATTGTATTTTGCCTGCTAGTCATTTCAAATTTAGTCAATAAGACAGATTGAGGAAATGAGCATCTGCCATTATTGAAGCTCTAAACAAAATTTAAATAGTTTTGTTCTCCAACTGTCCCCATCATTTATCAAATATCACTCACTGTGACATGATATGCCATTTATCCTAATGACTGTAACAGTGTTACAAGTAGAAATGCCAAACAATTTTTTTTTCTCTTTTAGCCTTGAATTAAATGCATAACTACCAAAAAAAGACAATGCCTAAATGTAATCTTTCACATTTGGTATGGCAATTTTAAAACTTAAATGAATGCAAAGAAGCAATTACAAAAAACAAAATGTAGATACACGTTAAGAACTGTTCACTCTTGGGAATGATCAAAGAAATGTTTATTAAAATAACCTTGAGGTTCTATTTTTGCACTAGGAAAATTTTAGGAAAAATATCAATGTATGCATTACTAACAAAGTTTCAGTAAAATTGAATTATAAATTCAGTTGACTCATAAGTTAGCATTTGAAACTGGTATAAACTTTTGAAAGTAGTAAAGTAAAAAGTCACTGTACTGTAGTCATAAAGACATACATGTGTAAATACATTGTGATCCAAACCCAGAAATTTATTGTGGATTTTAACTCAACAGACACAACATGCTATGTTGTAAGAAGATACTAATTAATGAATCATCTATTATTAAAAATAAAAAACACATTAGACTGGATATAACTGAAAGGCAAAATTATGTTGAAGAGTTATATTAATATTAACATTTACATAGCTATTCAATGTATATTTATGATTAAAATGAAGTATGGATAAGGGAAGATTTTGCAGTTACATAAAATAATAAAATATGATTATATTTCTATAATTATTATATGTTCATACATACATGTTTTCTCAAAGCAAATACCTAGTGGGAACCTAAGAAAGTTTAAGGAGTTATTGATAAACAAGTTTTTGTTCAGGCTGGACATGTTGGCTCACGCCTGTAATCCTAGCACTTTGGGAGGCCAAGGCTGGCAGATCACCCGAGGTCAGGAGTTTGAGACCAGCCTGAGCATCATGGTGAAACCCTGTCTCTACTAAAAATACAAACAAACAAAAAAAAATAGCTGGGTGTGGTGGCACATGCCTGTAGTCCCAGCTACTCGGGAGGCTGAGGCAGGAGAATCATTTGAACCCGGGAGGCAGAGGTTGCAGTGAGCCAAGATCAAGCCACTGCACTCCAGCCTGGGTGACAGAGAATTTGGTAAGGAAGTTGGGGAAGGACTGTGTTCTTCATCTATATTTTCACTCCTAAATATGAGTGATGGCCTTAATTCCTAAAACTCTTGAGCCCAACTCAAAACTATTTAAGACTTCAGCAGGTGGCTTAAATGAAACTTTTGCATATTTTAATTTTTCTCCATCTCTCCCCATTAGGGTAACCAATAATCTCAATTGGCCTGAAAATTTTCTCCTTTAAGCATTGAAAATCCCAAATATCAGAAACATTCAGTCCCAGATAAATCAGAATAAATAGGCCCCTCTATTTTTATTTTTTTTAATCTTGTTGGAATTCCACCTCTTCCTCTGTATTGCAGATTCCCTAACCCTTCCTAAACAGTAATCAATCTCCATCTGCAAATATCTTTGTCTCAGTCTTTTCCCATGTATTACTATTAAAGCAGAGGTAGGGTTTGTCTCATGCTGTATTTGTGGACCCCTGGGATCGGAGTAGAGTGCTAGTGGAGCTGGTAGAGTTTGAATAATAAGAGTCACATTTTGGGGAAAAAAAATTATACAGTGTCCTTCACTTTGGCTGTAGCTGTTTTGTTCCATTGATTGTCTAAAACAAAATAGCACCTATATCACAAGGATTTATTATTTCCTAAAATGTTTCCTGATCACCCACAAGCATATAGGAGAAAATAAGATTTTCTTATTCAAGAAATTTTTATTTTATTTTTGCTAAATTCATGTATTGGCCTTCTAAGAAAGCACCCTAGCCCTGTCTCTGCTGATTTGTTTCACAAACCTTTCATTCATTTGCAAATAGAGATAAGTCAAACTTGATATTCTAAGGCCAAGGCTAGCTGAATGATTCTTTTAAAACCTCTAATCATAAAACTGCATCATTTCACCTTTGTAGACAATCTTAACTACTTGAATTAGCTGAATATCTTAGGATAAATAAATGTTTCAAACATCATCAATATGAATTCCTTGCTAATCAGGTATACAGCACCCTTAAACTAATTTTAAGACTAAATATTTTCTCTCTCTTTCTCCTCCCTTCCTCCCTTCCTTCCTTCCTGCCTGCCTTTTCTTTTTTCCCTCCTTCCCTCCTTCTCCTCTTTCTTCCCTCCCTCCCTTTCTTCCTCTCCTTTTCCTTTCCTTTCCCTTTTCCTTTCCTTTCTCCCTTCCTTTCCTTTCCCCTTTCCTTTCCTTTTCTTCTTTCTTGGCTGCCTGCCTTCCTTCCTTCTTTCCTCCCTCCCTCTCTTTCTCCTTTCCTTCGTCTCTTCCTCCCTCCCTCCCTCCTCCTTCATTCCTTCCTTCCTCCCTCCCTCCCTCCCTCTTCTTTCCTTCTTTCTTTCCTTCTTTCTTTCCTTCCTTCTTTCCTTCCTTCCTTCCTTCTTTCCTTCCTTCCTTTTTTCCTTCCTTCTTTCTTTCCTTCCTTCCTTCTTTCCTTCCTTCCTTCTTTCCTTCCTTCTCTTTCCTTCCTTCCTTCTTTCCTTCCATCCTTATTTCCTTCCTTCCTTCTTTCCTTCGTTCCTTTTCTTTCTTTCTTCCTTTCGTCACATCTAAAACTTCACCTGACACTTCATGGTATATATGAATCAGAGTAGGGGTTAAGAGAAGAGATATGGGAAAGAGTGATTTATGCTATCAATGAAGTCACATAGACGTAATAAATTACCTGTCCTTCTAAAAGCCAACCTTTCAAAGATCAGAAATTCGCCATGCTTTCCTGAGCCACTCAGATTACATTTCATGAATAAATTATAGTTCATGTGGTTCACGAAAATAGGAATTCTGCACTTTAAGAGAACATACATTTATAACTCTCAGCCCTATATATCAATTCTATTATGATATGCTGTGATGCCATTTATCTATATAAAATACCATGAAACATAATGTACAAGTAAGAAAAAGTAAACTGAATCCCTTCTAGAAAACAGAATCATTTTCCTCTTCCTCTTTGAAATAGAAGTTTTAAATTTTCTGCCCCAGTCATTAATTTTTTATTGGTTTTCTTAAAATGTTCACCATCATTACAAAGAACTTAAAACACAAATATAGGTTCTTATTAATAAGATATGAATTATTCCTGGTAAATTCATCTATTTGATGAATGGCTCACCTTGCAGGAAATGTATACATATAAATTATGTTTATTTTTCTCTTCTTTCTCTCTTTCTTGTAGCCAATTCAATACCCAAATGAAATATTCCTATCGGCTCATATTTTGGGGAAATAAAAATAAAGAACTCCTCCCCAAAATATCCTTTTTTTTTTTTTTTTTTTTAAAGAGACTGAATATCACTCTGTCACCCAGCCTGGAGTGCAGTGGTGCCATCATAGTTCACTGTAGTTTCAAACTTTTGGGATTAAGGAATCCTCCTTCCTCACCAGCCTTCTGAGTAGGTGCTCAGCTATTTTTATTTTTTATTTGTAGAGACAGGGTCTCACTGTGTTGCTCAGGCTGGTTTCAAACTATTGAACTTAAGTGATCCTCCTGCCTTAGCATCCCACAGTGCTGGGATTACAGGCATGAGCCACCACATTCAGCTCAAATATCCTTTTTACATTATATATATATATATATATATATATATATATATATATATATATATATATATATATGGTGGAGGTGAGAGGAGAACTAGAATCCATGGAAAATAACTGAGATTGTAATTGTCTCTGATTGTGATTAGCTTCCAATAGCAATGACTGCTGTTTTTCTTGGGTTTTTCTAATCTAGTCCCAGTTCTTCTTTTTCCCACTTCTAATCTGCAAATATACAGGAAAAGTGATCCTAGAAAATGTAGTTTTAGCATACGAAGATATATAAAACCACTGAGACATTTGTTTATTAGAAATTTATGATGGATAATTCAATACTATCAATAAAGTCAGAAAAAAAATCAATCAGTTGTGGTTAATCATTTCTGGCCTATGTTGTGGAGTAACTCTGGAAATGCTTTTCACGCAAGGAATTTCTTTATTCATAAATAGTGGAGGAAACTGGAAAGAGATCTAGTTATATATTGAACGTCAGAGTATATGAGTAACTATGTTAGAAGATTTACACATATTTTCATTTGTAAACATTCCAAAACACATGGAATTAGTTATTATTATTACAGTTTTAAATATGTGGACACTGAGGCTTACAGTAATCTATGTATTTTGTTTCACTTTCATGTACAGAAATTTGTGTTATATGCGTAATTGCAATGTTAGTAAACACAAGACTTAAACATTTGAAATTTATACCACTAGTTGTCTAAAACCATCTTGCCCCAAAATACAATAATAGCAATAAAAATTGTTGTAACCATAGCCCATTATGTAATTTAATGACCTTTTATAGAGCCATCATATCATTAAGCCCTAGGGGCTGCTGGCTCTTATCTTATGACAAAATTATACTCAAATTACGGAGTTAGACACATCTAAATTTGTGACCTGTTTCTAGCATACACAACTGTATGACTTTGGGCAATTTTCTTTAACCTCTTGAAAGCTCTATTTGTTTTACTATAAAACAGAGAATATCAGAATACCTAACACACAAGTTTGTTCTGAGAATTCAATGAGAACATAATGACCTATGTTTAGTAAATATTAAAATATTAAACTAATACATTCCAACTTTTATAATTATAGAGAAAAATTAATATATGTACAAAAATATATGCATCTATAAAATGAAATATAAATATATAATATGATGTGGTGTTATACATATAAATTTTATATATATATACATTTTATTTAACCTTGACTTGAAAATGGATCAGGAATAAAATTAACGCTGGATGTAGTCATCACATGGGTCTAGTTTTTGGAGATAACAACCCCTTTATCCTCTGTACACTGAATTTTTTTCTAGTTTATCCATCTTACTGAGTATGTCCTTTTATAAATTTCCTCAAACTCTTATTGGGAAGATTCAGTTTAAATTTTTAGTAAGAATGCATTTCATATGACATTATTATACCTTAGATCATTTGTAACTTCCAGTGAGTTTGAAGTATTAGTCTGAAATCAAAACACTAGCTGCCTCCATATCTCTCTAAACCACATAAATTCTGATGAATTACTCTGCGTAGAGCCAAGACCAATTTACTGAATATTACTTAGCTGCTTTTAATCATACTTCAACTTGCTTTCTAAATATGATCTTCGCAGCTTAGGCATATCAAAATTCATGCAATACTGTCAAGAGCTTCTCTTTGAGCAAGCTCAACTAAACCCATAAGAGATCCTTGATGATCTACTAGTGGTGATGAGAATTGCTTTTCATTAAAGTTAATATTAGACAATATCTAGCAAGATTTGCAAGATTGACTTCATTCCCTATCATAAAAAGAAATTTTTGCCTAATGTTTTCTAGTAAGTTGTGTAAAGCGGCTCTTTGTCTTTTAATGACGCAGCATGATGGAAAAACCTAGAAATCAAATTTTATGACTGAGCTCCACAAAACCATTATACCTAATAGAATACTGATTGAAGCAAGTAGAAATATGGAGAAACAGTTAGGAATATTCCCAGGATACCTGAAAAGTTAAGTAGCATTACATTTAAATTTCAGCAAAACACACAGGCAATTCTCTTAAGAGTTGCTGTCACCTCATTTCAAGTTGTTCCTAGCCAAGGAAATAAAAATGCTACCATATGACATGTAATAAGAAGCTCTTGGGAAAAGAAGTCACGAGAGCACCAAATGACTCTTTTCAAATGACTCTGTTCAAAAGAATAGTCAAATCTATGTTCAATTCTGTTACTTTTACATTTTGGAAATTATTCTATTTGATACCTATGTATTTACTGTTGTCACTGACTGATATCAACCAGAATGTATACTTTCCTATAATAATAACCACAAATGCCATCACGTCAAAGAAAGTGTGGTTTTCGTATTTTATTGAGGAATTTAGATACTGCTGTGATAGGTATAATTTTGTAATTAATAAGTCATATGTAGTATTACAGATACAAATAATATAAAAACAACATTTTATATTCTGCTATTCCTGCAGATATTCTTACTCCTAACAATTTTTTTTTTATTTTTCTCTTTCTCTGTTTCCCATTTTTCTAGCTATGTTTGTGAGTCTTAACTTTTATTGATTGACTTATAGAATATAGTCATCTAATCAACAATCTCTTTTATTCTTACCTTGCCTTTGATAATACATGCTTACATTACTGTATTAATGTTAATTTTACTATGAATAAATTATTTAACACCATCTCACAAAAAAGATTGCAAAATTTAAAGGTGAAAAAATGTTATCTAGTACCTAAAAAGGTAAAAATCGTAAGACTTGACATACAGTAAAAAATTATAAGACGTAAAAGAATCAGAAAAACATGAGGCATAATGAGAAAAAAATAACTCAATAGAACCAAGGACATGATAAATGATAGATTTAATAGAAAATAATACTGGAACAAGTGATAGAATTATAATCAATATATTCAAGAAGGTAGAAAAAAGCGTAAGTGTGACAAAGAGAAATATAGAATTTGCCATATTTTTGAATGCTATGCTCTGAATGTTTGTTTCCCCAAAATTCATAAGTTGAAGTCTTAATTCCAAATGTGACCAAGTTAGGAGGTGGGATCTTTCAGACGTGATTGGGTCATGGAGGCAGAGCCCTCATGAATGGAATTAAGACCCTTTTAAAAGAGGCCCAAGCCCCTCTCTTCTACAATGGGAGAGCACAGCTAGAAGGAGCCAATTATAAATAAGAAAATAAATCTTCACCAGACACTACATTTGTCAGCTTCCTAACCTTGGACTTTCCAACTTCCAGAACCATGAGAAATAAATTTTTGTTGTTTATAAACCACTCAGTTTGTGGTATTTTGTTATAGAAGCCCAAATGAACTAAGACAGAAAGTGAAAAACAAAACAAAACAAAAAACTCCAATTGAAGTATTATAGACAAAAAATAGAATGCATGTGTTAAATTTGTGGAATACTCAAAATGACAACAGATTAGATATAACGTAGAATAAAATATCTTTAATGACCTTGATGAAACAGCAACAAGTGATATAAAGAGCCATAAGATTAAAAAAACTAACAAACAATATTGTCTTAAGTTGTAGGATAATTTTAAGCAACCTAATAAACATGAAATTTGAATCTTCAAAATAGGGAAGAGAGATAGGAGATAGAAAAAAACATTTAAAAAGTATTGGTTGAAAAATTTTCAAACTTGATAAAACTGTAAATTCACAGATTATATAAGCTAAAATAACCTACCATGTTCATAAAAATGATAAAAACTATATCTAAGAACAACTTAGTTAAATAAATTGAAACCAGTCATGCTTTAAAAATATCTTTAAAACAGCTACAATGAATGATTTATTATGTGCAGAGAAACAAAGATAATAATGACAGATTTATTGAAGGAAATACATGCCAAAAAGGAATGGATTAATATCATTAAATTGCTCAAAGAGTCAACTTAGACTTTCATACCAAAGGAAATTTTATTTCAAACCCAATGATTCAATTAATGGGTTTTTCAGACATGCAAAAGATTAAAAAAAATCATCACCAGAACTAGACTTTAAAAAATAACATAGTCTTTTAGGCAGAAGGGAATTTATACAAGATAGAAACTTGGATCTATGTAAATAAATGAAGAGTACTGAAAATTGTTATTTCAGTAAATGTAATTGTTGTACTATTTAAGTCTCTTTAACAGACAATTATTAGAGGCAAAAATAATAATAATATAGTGTGAGGTTTATTAAGACATACAGATTTCGAAAATATAACAAGATAATAAAAACTAGGAGAAGAAAATGACTATCCTTGTACTCTATGTGAAATGGTTTAATATTATAGAATAAAAACTATGATGAAGATTTTCATTAGAAATGCTAAGGTAAACATTAGCAAAACAAAGGAATATAGCTAGTAGGCTAATAAAGAAGATAAAATATAAGAATGCTCAAATAATCAAAATAAAGCAAAAAAATTGAACAAACCAGAAATGGGACAAATAGAAAACAAGAAAATACATTTAAACCAGGCTTTATACATAATTGAATTAAATGTAACTATTCTATATCCCCAACTAAAAATCATAAATTGAGAGCTTATTTAAAAAACAAAATCTAATGATATGTTGCAGATAAGAAACCTGATTAAAAGAGAAAGTAAAGGATTTAAAAATAAAATGATGGGAAATAGCATACCATGCTAACACTAAGCAAAAAAGCTGGAGTAATTATATCAATATCAGAAGAAGTAGATGGCAGAGGAAGGAATTATACCAAGGTCAAAGACAGTTGTTACACATTACTAAAGACTTTGATAGTTCAAGGACACAGCATTTCTACATAACAGAGCTTTACAAAACATGAATAAAAAACTTAAAGAAGTGAAAAACTTATGGAACTAAATCAAAGAATAGACAATTATAAGACTAGACAATAGAATTTTCTGTCTTTCAACACTTTCAAGAAGTACTGAACTTAAAAAACTTAAGTAAAAAACTGACAGAGCTGAAAAACCTGCAGAATGAAAAACAAATAGATAATTTTAAGAATAGACAATAGAATACTTGTAAGTATTCTGTTAATAATTTTGAGAGATTTCAGTGCTTCTACAAATTGATAAAAAGGTAGACAGCGAATCAAAATGGATATGAAGTATTGAAAAATCTGTCAACAATGTGATATAATTGACATTTATAGAACACCACCCTCAAAATGGCAGAATACTCATTTTTATCAAGTTAACATACAACTTTTAATAAGATAGACAATATTCTGGACCACAAAATAAGTAAAATAAATTTAAACCGATTTGACTAATGCAAAGTGTATTTTGTGACCATGATAAAATTAAATAAAAAAAAGTAATAATGTATTTGAAAAATACCAACACATTGTAACTAAGCAATACACTTCTAATAAACCATGGATTAATAGGAGAATATTTGGAATTATTTTACGATAAATGGAAATTTTAAAAAATACATATAAAATTTGTTTGATTCAGCAAAATAATGAAAATGGAAAAATTTATGGCATTCAATAACTATTACCTGTATTATAAAAGAAGAAATTTATCGACTTAATAACCTAAGCTTCTTTATTAAGAAACCAGAAGAATAGCAGTTGAAATCCAAAGCTACTGGAATAAAATAACTGATAAAGATGAGGTAAGAAAGCAATAAAATAGAAGACAATAATAGAAGACACTTTATGACAGCAAAACCTTTTTCTTTGAAAAATTAATAAAATGTATTATTCTCTAGCCACCAGACTCATCAGAGAAAAAAAAGTTAGAAAAGAAAAAATTCCAATATCAAGATGGAGAGAGAGGACTAGAAGGATCTACAGTGAGTCCTCTCTCTCCATCTTGTGAGGAGATGTATATATACTAAGTAAATTACTTATGTATGCTAATTTATTCAATCGTTGGATAAATAGATAAATTGTGTCCAACAACTGTATCCAACAATTAGATAAATTCCTTAGTAGACATATATAATGACCAAATTAGGTCTATCCCTGGATGGAAAGATTGTTTTAACACAAAAACATAACCAAAATAATTTATTTCATTAACTAACAAAAAATTTTTAAAAACCTGCATGATTGCCTCAGTATATACAGAAAAGGAATTTGACAAATTTAACATCTGTTGTTCATAAAAATTACCAGAAAATTAGGAATAGATGAGAATATCATGAGGCTTTTACAGGGCATATAGTTAAAAACTCTACAACTTACATCAAACTAAATAGTGAAAAACTAAATGCTTTTTCCCTTAAGATTAGAAGGTAAAAATGTCTGCCATAACCTGGCAACTTATTTTCACATTGTAATGCATTTTCTAGTTATTATTATAAGGCAAATACAAGAAATAAAAGTTCTACAAATTGGAAATAAAGAGGTAACATGCTTTATTCATGAGGTTTTGGTCATCTTTGTAAGAAATGTGATAAATTCTACAAAACTCAAAATATCATGAGTTTACCAAGTTTGACTTATACAAGGCAAATATATAAATGTTAATTGCAAGTATATAACAATTAAACAAATATATAACATATAACATTCAACATAACAGAACTACAAGTTGTAAAAAGGAGACTAAAAATTAGCATGCGTAGTATGAGAATTTTCTTGGAAAAGCACATTTAGATCTTATATGTATAGAATTTTTTTTAAATTTATTTTTATAATTATTATTTTTTATTATACTTTAAGTTTTAGGGAACATATGCACATTGTGCAGGTTTGTTACATATGTATACATGTGCTATGTTGGTGTGCTGCACCCAGTAACTCATCACTTAGCATTAGGTATATCTCCTAATGCTATCCCTCCCCACTCCCCTCACCCCACAACAGGCCCCAGTGTGTGATGTTCCCCTTCCTGTGTCCATGTGTTCTCATTGTTCAATTCCCACCTATGAGTGAGAACATGCGGTGTTTGGTTTTTTGTCCTTGCTATAGTTTGCTGAGAATGATGGTTTCCAGCATCATCCATGACCCTACAAAGGACATGAACTCATCATTTTTTATGGCTGCATAGTATTCCATGGTGTATATGTGCCACATTTTCTTAATCCAGTCTATCATTGATGGACATTTGGGTTGGTTCCAAGTCTTTGCTATTGTGAATGGTGTCACAATAAACATACGTGTGAATGCGTCTTTATAGCAGTATGTTTTATAATCCTTTGGGTATATACCCAGCAATGGGATGGCTGGGTCAAATGGTATTTCTAGTTCCAGATCCCTGATGAAAAGCCACACCGACTTCCACGTGGTTGAACAAGTTTACAGTCCCACCAACAGTGTAAAAGTGATCCTATTTCTCCACATCCTCTCCAGTACCTGTTATTTCCTGACTTTTTAATGATCACCATTCTAACTGGTGTGAGGTGGTATCTCATTGTGATTTGGGTTTGCATTTCTCTGATGGCCAGTGATGATGAGCATTTTGTCATGTGTCTTTTGGCTGCATAAATGTCTTCTTTTGAGAAATGTCTGTTCATATCCTTTGCCCACTTGTTGATGGGGTTGTCTGTTTTTTTCTTGTAAATTTGTTTGAGTTCATTATAGATTCTGGATATTAGCCCTTTGTCAGATGAGTAGGTTGTAAAAATTTTCTCCCATTCTGTAGGTTGCCTGTTCACTCTGATGGTAGTTTCTTTTGCTGTGCAGAAGCTCTTTAGTTTAATTAGATCCCATTTGTCAATTTTGGCTTTTGTTGCCATTGCTTTTGGTGCTTTAGACATGAAGTCCTCGCCCATGCCTATGTCCTGAATGGTATTGCCCAGGTTTTCTTCTAGGGTTTTTATGGTTTTAGGTCAAACATTTAAGTCTTTAATCCATATTGAATTAATTGTTGTATAAGGTGTAAGGAAGGGATCCAGTTTCAGCTTTCTACATATGGCTAGCCAGTTTTCCCAGCACCATTTATTAAATAGGGAATCCTTTCCCCATTGCTTGTTTTTGTCAGGTTTGTCAAAGATTGGATGGTTGTAGATGTGTGGTATTATTTCTTAGGGCTCTGTTCTGTTCCATTGGTCTATATCTCTGTTTTGGTACCAGTACCATGCTGTTTTGGTTACTGAAGCCTTGTAGTATAGTTTGAAGTCAGGTAGTGTGATGCCTCCAGCTTTGTTCTTTTTGCTTATGATTGACTTGTCAATGCAGGCTGTTTTTTGGTTCCATATGAACTTTAAAGTAATTTTTTCCAATTCTGTGAAGAAAGTCATCAGTAGCTTGATGGGGATGGCGTTGAATCTATAAATTACCTTGGGCAGTATGGCCATTTTCACGATATCGATTCCTCCTACCCATGAGCATGGAATGTTCTTCCATTTGTTTGTATCCTCTTTTATTTCATTGAGCAGTGGTTTGTAGTTCTCCTTGAAGAGGTCCTTCACGTCCCTTGTAAGTTGGATTCCTAGGTATTTTATTCTCTTTGAAGCAATTGTGCATGGGAGTTCACTCAGGATTTGGCTCTCTGTCTGTTGTTGGTGTATAAGAATGCTTGTGATTTTTGCACATTGATTTTGTATCCTGAGACTTTGCTGAAGTTGCCTATCTATAGAATGTTATACATCACAATGACTTCTGGGTGAGAAGAGTTATAAGCACTTTAAAAAGTATTTTGTGCTTTATGGTTTCTCATCAATAAATGTATTATTTTTGTAGTAACAAAAAAGAAATATTTTAATTGAAAATTTTATGGCATTTGTATAACAGTAAATTTTTATTGCATTTTTATAACAGTAATGAAACATCCAGAAATCTTAATTTTAATAACGTCTAAGTATAGTTCTTCCAAATGTGAAATACTTTGAAATATATGTGACAATAAGTGTATGTTTTCTGTAAATGGTAATCTATAGAACATTCCCAGAAAACATTTTTTAAAACTAAATAATATGTTCTTATATCAGGTGACTAAATGTTGTTAATATGTCAATTTTCTCAAATTTATTCATAGTTCAAGTCCCTGCAGATTATGTTTTAGTAATTTCTCAGTCAATTATAAAATTTATGCTGAAGTTCTAAAGACCTAAAACAATCTTTAGGAAAGGAGACATTGTAGGGTTTACATTACCTGTTTGCAAAATTTTTGATAAAGCAAATAGTGATAGCATTTCTGATATAAGAATTTTAAGAATTTTTGCACCTGTGGTATAGAGACTGAATTCTCAGCAGCCAAAGAGGACTTCAGCATTATGTGAAAGAGGAATCCAGGCCAGACAAAACCAGAATCTTTTTCTTGATAACACTGTAAAATGGAGATTTAGAGACCTACTGAATAGATTTTACACACACACACACACACATATTGATGTATAGAATATACACCACTACCCATAACTTTTAATCCACTTGAATACTTCCCAAAAGATCACACATGACCTAAATTATGGTTAAATTGAAACAAACTTCTAATTTTAAGTGGAAAATTAACTGTGATATAGTCAGTTTCCTAGCACTGGCTGAATCTAAGAATGAACTGTCTCTTGGAAACTGGACTGCTCATGTGTGTTTTGGAAGAAAGTAGGCTGGGCTACATTCTATAGTGCAAATATCTGGTACATAATAGGCATTCAATAAATACTATCTATGAAAACCATATTTAGAGCTCAATGTTAAGAACTTTTTGTAAACATGTGACTTGCATATTTGCAGTTTATTCTCCACAATCCACCTGTAACTCTCTAGGCTCCTAATTTTGTACTTTACGTGTGTATTTGTCCTTTTACTGAATATATTTCTTTTAAATAGTCTCAGGCCGGGTGCGGTGGCTCATGCCTGTAATCCCAGCACTTTGGGAGACGGAGGGAGGATCACCTGAGGTTGGGAGTTCAAGACCAGCCTGACCAACATGGAGAAACCCATTCTCTACCAAAAATACAAAATTAGCCAGGCGTGGTGGCACATGCCTGTAATCCAAGCTTCTCGGGAGGCTGAGGCAAGAGAATCCTTTGAGCCCAGGAGGCAGAGGTTATGGTGAGCAGAGATCCTACCATTGCACTCGAGCCTGGGCAACAAGAGCAAAACTCCATCTAAAAAAAAAAAAAAGTCTCAAATTCTTTAGGATATGAAATAAAAGTATGCAAAATACACACATATACACTAAAAATATAGTTAGCCATAAGCCTGATATTAAATTTTTTGATTATTTTTAAAAATTCTAAGAATCTTAGACTACCATGTAGAAACCCAGAAATAAATGTAAACAAATGAAAAAAAGGGTCTTAATGGAAGGAGACAAGAGTATGATCCCCAAACTCGTTACACATTCGCTCCAACAAGATGAGGTTTCCATTTAAACTAACGAAAAAGTAGATCTAAACAAAATAAAGATGGGAACAACCTTGGAGGCTAAATTATTACAGCCTCCACTTAAGGCCATAGTGAACAATATAACATCAAAAGTCAGACAAATTATTGTTTGTCAGAAATGTATTTAGCTACAAGAAACAAAATATCTAAGTAACAGCTGCTTAAACAAATGTAGATGGATTTTTCTCATTAGGAATATTTGCCATTTTTTATTCGAATGTCGTTTGGTGTCAGAAGAAATACAACCTGCAACTTTATTTTTTCCCCACCATCCTTAGTGAACTGGCATTTGTCTTCCTTTTATCCTTTAATAGTCACAAGATGGCTGCTGAATCTCCAGATTTTCACATGAGGGTTACAGGTACCAGCGATGGATCTTCCCTTTTATCAGGAAAACAAAACTTTTCAAGACTGCAACCCACTCTTACTAACAGATTTCCAGTTAGATATCATTGTTCAGAACTTAGTCACATGGCCAACCCTAAATCAAGAAACATAGTTGTTGAGATTGGATTTAACAATCCTTTTCCATTACATAGGGAGGCCACAAGAAAGGGAAATGTATTTTGTGCAGGATCCCAACAGTGTAGGCCATAATGATACTTATTCTACAGAGTAACTGTAACAATTACATGAGAATGTGTGTCATTATCTGTCAAAAACCCAGTGTTATTTGATTATTAGTGCCATGATATCAGTTATGGCTGCTTATCAACTTAATCTATTATATTATATTGAAGGTAGGAGCTACATTTAATTTGTATATTCATATCGGATACCTCTCATTATTTTGGACAATAAAAATGTAACCAATATTTTGGCAATTGTAGCTTTTACACATAAGCCTTTTCTGTTTTCTTTTCTTTTTTTTTTTCAGTCTTCTAACTTGTATGACCTCAACTATATATCAATCATTAACATTCATTGTAAACTTCATAATTAGACTGTAAGTTTTCTAAGCCTTAGCACTGTGGTTATTCTGGCCTCAATTAACTCTTCAAATTACTAGTGTTCTGGTTATCTCTTAATAAATAAACAAACATAAATTTAATAAGCCAAAAGAGTTGGTCAAGCATGTCAAAAAATCTGGCAACATTTGTCCTTGACATCCTTAAGGAAATGATCAATTTGCTGAACTATATTCCCCAACTTTACATCTGCTTTATATTTTTCTTGATGTATCTAAACAAAGTCTTTAGCTTCTTTATGGCCTAATAAAGAGCCCACCTGACTTCTTAAGCTTTTTTCTTTTTTTTTAATGGGTTATTTCTATGCACTTTCTCTGATCATTTAAAAAAAAACATTTTTTTTAATGTGCCACAGAGGGTAAGTAATTAATTACAAGGAACTTGACATCTTTTTGGATATCAGCAGGTAACTAAGAGCTACAACCTCTTTAGTATTTCTAACAAAGAATAAATCAAGGTAAAGGATATTATCAAAGTTACAACCTTCCTGCAATCAAATGCAGAAAATAAAAGGCTTTGTGAAGAGACAGAACTGGAAAAATAGGTCAAGTTACAACATAACCATACATAATAGAGCCCTTTCAAGAATTCTGAAAGCCTTATCCATTGCATCAATGCCTACAGAGACCTTTATTTCTCATCAGAAAATTAGTAAAAATGGTTAGAAAAGGCCTTTTCATTTTTGATCTGTAAACTCTATTAATATGTTAACAATAAGCACATACATATTTCTTCATTGGTTGTCTGGCAGAGAGTAGGCACTCAATAAAAATTATTAAATGTATTAGTAAAATTTAAATGTGAAAATGTCTAACTAAAATCTGAGAAACAAAACCCTACTACTGGAGGATTAAGTGACTATTTTTCCATGCTTTGGATTATGAACACCCAGACAATATTTCAAAGGCTTTCGACACTTTTACATGTAAACTTTTCCATTTCTGGGAATTCTGACAAACATATTTGGTGATACTACTTTATTCATGTCCAGAGAACACACCCTATTTATTTTTTCTACTCTAAGCTTAGATAATCACCAATAAACATTATAAACCTAGAACCTCTGGTACAAACAAAAGACAATTAATAAATGCTAACTAGTTAACTGACCGCAAATAAAAAGGCAGAAACTGAATCCAAAGAGGCTCAAAATCTTGTCTTACCAAGGTGATCTTCAGGTCTATCACTTCAGAATAAGTATTTAGGAAAGCACATGGGATTTTAGATAATTACTGGATTAGAGCTTATCACTGTAGAGATTGAACCTCAAACTCCAGCTTCTTCATGAAATGCTTAGAAAGCATTTCCCATCCCATTTGATCTTGCTAGAATTTTTTCTCATCAGATAATTGAAGAGTTTAATCAACCTGTTTTTAACATCATTTAGTCCCATGATATTTGATCTATCAAAAATAAAGAAAACGAAAAAGTTAAAGACTAAGAAGGAAACTTCTAGGAGGCTGTTACTTTTATTGTTCCTCAAAGAGGTCCAACAGTTTTAGCAACACTTTTTCTCTCCAAGCTTCACTAAGGTATGCTATACAATTACAATTGTACGTATTTATGGTGTACAGCATGATATTTTGATACATTTGATGATATTTTGATACATGGCAAAATAATTAAATGAAAGTAATATATCAGTCACCTCATATACTTATCATTTGTTTGTGGTAAGAAAATTTAATGTCTAATGACATCAATTTTCAAGTAGTATGAAAATCGTGGTACAGTTTTTTTCTCACTGACTGCTACCGTGTCGTAATTAGATGAGTAATGGTTAGAAAGTTATACACAATGAATATGACCAACATAAGCAATTTGAGTCCTGGAAAGAGGGGAAAGTGATTATGAAGATGAAAAACATTGCAAGAAATATTTGTCAAAAACTTTCAGAATCTGATATAAGACAGGAATCCA
Source organism: Homo sapiens (assembly GCF_000001405.40). Classification (NCBI taxonomy): domain Eukaryota; kingdom Metazoa; phylum Chordata; class Mammalia; order Primates; family Hominidae; genus Homo; species Homo sapiens. The sequence continues at coordinate 16,159 of NW_003315936.1, read as the reverse complement.
CAAAATAAAGAAACCTAATGCAAATTGTAAACAAAAATAAATCCACATTAAAACACAACACTATGATGTATTAGTGAGCATAAGGACAAAGAAAAAAATGTCAAAAGTAGTGATAAAATAAGTGGATAATACATTTATAAGAGCAATGAGTAGAGTTGCAGATGACTTTACAACGTAATCGGTTGAGTCCAATAGATAATGCCATGATACCTTTAAAGTGCTTAAAAAACAAAACTGCTAGCCTAGAATTTAACATTTAATGAAAATGTACACCAAGAACAAAATACAGTTTTAGGAATGTTAAAACAAAAATAGAGGTTTTGCAACCAGCAAACCTGCACCAAGGAAACTACTAAAGGATATTTCTCCTGCAGAGGGTTGTAATTTCAAAGGAAATTTCAGAGATACAGAAAATAATATAACATCAATGAAAGGCTAAATATATGGGATAATCTAAATGACTATTGACTATATATAATATAAATAGTAATATCTACTAGGGTTTAAATACTATAGACATAAATTACATGAAAAATAGCATAGATGTTAGAAAGTAGGTAAAAATATTTTTCTTTTGCAGGAAGAAGAGAATAATATCACTCAACATTAGAGTTTCATAAGATAAAGATACAAGTTTGAACCTTTGTGTAACCACCAGACAAAATAGTAAATAAGTACGTAACTATGAAAGAAATACAGTGAAAATGTAATATGTCTTTTAAGTGGTCCATCAAAAAAGATGGAAAAAGGTATATCAGTGATTAAATTTAGTTAAGGCACCTAAATGTTCCAATTACAAATAAAGAATGTTAAATGCATAAAAAAATTGCTATATAGATTAAAAGGGACACAGCTGGTTGAAATATAAGGATGGAGAAATGCCGAAATGGAAATAAAAAAATAATATAGCAGGTAGGCACAGTGGCAAATACCTGTAATCCCAGCATTTTGGTAGGCTGAACCAGATGGACCGCACCAGCTTTGCCAACATGCTGAAACTCCGTTTCTTCTAAAAATACAAAAATTAACTGGGCATGGTGGTGTGTGCCTATCATCCCAGCTACCTGGAAAGCTGAGGCAGGAGAATTGCTTGAACCTGGGAGGCAGAGGTTGCAGTGAGCCAAGATCATGTCACTGCACTCCAACCTAGGTGACCGACTGTCTCTAAGAATAATAATAATAATTATATAGCATGCAAATATGCGCACACACACACACACACACACAATTTAATAGATGATAAAATAGACCTTTGTATAAAAATCATTACTAGAAATAGATTATTTTACAATGTTTATAATGTTTAATTTCCCAGGAAAAGATAGCAATTCAAAATGAGTATCCCTAAATTTGTATATATAAATGGATGTAAAGTGGCAGATTTTTATATTCAGGAGAAAAGGACGCTGAGTCAGATCTGTATGCCATCCCTATACTCCTACAAATAATGTTTTTCTGGCTGTGCATCTAACTTTTGTCTATTTGTTTCTTGTCTGAGTAATAGGGACAATAAGCATAATCTATTCAGGATCTCACAGTGATTAAACACAACATGTGAAAGCATCTAACAGTACACACAATACAGAATAAAAATAAACATTTCACAGTATAAAATAGATTTTAACAACTAGAGACATAAGTGGTATTTTTGATGGTAGATACTGGAGGAGGAAAGAATTTGTTAGGACTCTGGTTAGGACAGAATGCTGGAAGCTGGGCTGTTGTCTTGCCTTTGCCATTGACTTGCCTGGTTGGAATACAATGCTGCACTGGGTCAGCACATGTGCTCAAGAAGTCTCAGGCTTCCCAACTGTAAAGTAGTGCTAAAATGTGTGAATCATTACCTTTTATTAATGCCTCTTTCCTGCTATCTGCAACTGAAGATGTTATAAAGATAAAGTGAGGCCATCCCAGAATACAAAGATATGTTTTGTTTTTCCTTAGGAGAATACATTATTTTCTGTGATGTCAGCCCATGATTCCCCAGGCTGGCCTGTATGTGAGGCTGGCCTTATATTTCCACCATATTGTGGAAATTCCATAATCGGCTCTTTGAAAATTAACTGTTTTTCCTCTGGAGCTAGAATAACGTTCTACTGACAGATTATTTTTTTTACTACTAAAATAGACTTTTTTGAGTTGATTTTATTTGTTCCTCTATAATAAAGGGAGAAGATAGCCACCTGTCAGGACCCCTATCACTAGATAATTTTTACTATTTTTGAAAGTCTGGATTTATTTCACTCAATGTTATGTATGTTTGGGTTATATTTAAGTATTTTCTGAGGACAATGTTACTGACAAGATTTCCAGAAACTTCTTCAATTTAAACATAGCTTTTTACATTCAAATATCAGTGAAGCACACCTCTTTTGAAAGAATAGAAGATGGTCAGAATAATTGGAAAATATGTATCTATAACCTTCAGTAGTTTCCTTGTTTCTTTTATTGAATGTCATTACAGTGCTGCATCACTGAAATTAATTCTAGCATTCTTTGCACGTTAATTAAAAATGTTATTCATATTAGTATACGGTGACTATTACTTTCTATTGGAAAATAGTGGACTGAACAAAGAAATTCTAATCCTTATGCAAATTCTAATCTTTGCATAAAAATACATTTATACTTATTTTAATAATTTAAATGAAGACTCTAAGATTATTTAAATCTTAAAAACAAGAATGCTAAACAACTAATGCATCTGTGTGATTGTGATCTTTTGTGAGATTATTCTTCAAAGTCAGTTACATCTGGAGCAGTCAAAGCTGATTAATTACTAAGTCCAGGAAGCTACAGGGTATGAAAGTAACTGCCAAACCCTCAGACATCTTGAAATAGCTTCAATAACATAATGAATATAATTTACATTCTGTAACTTATTAATAAAATTACCAAGAAATTAGCCTCTGGTATTCTCAAATATATGAAGCAAATTCAATTTTGGCAGCATAAGCCAGAAAATGCTTTCAAAATGCTTCCTGGCTACATCAAAAAACATCTTTTTCTTATTTGTGAAAAAAATATTGTGTATCCTCACAGATAAAATAATATAAACAAAACCATATGGTAAACATCTCTAGTGGAAGTTTCTGAAGGAGGTTTATTCACCGTTTTTCTTACACTTCCCTCAGCTCATGAACATTTTATCCTCAATTCTATATCTGCACATAGTGTTAATAAAAATGTTATTAATTTATTGGAACATATATAGAACAAATGTTCAACTGTTTAAATTATTATCTGTCATCTCTGAAGCAGTTAGATATTTAAGATCATCAAAAAATATACTTTCTGCATATACGGCAGTAAATCAAACTTATTTTAATCACACACAGTTTGGAAATTGAGTAAAAATTATGTATTCCTTCTTGTAAATATATGTGCTTCCTATTCTTGGAAAAAATTAACATGCAATAAACACAGGTAAATCACCACTACATAAATCTATACACCACTTACCTGAAATAGGTTAGAATTCCCTGGCCTTCTAAGATCCAACCATGATCTCAAATTTAATAACCTTTTATATAAAGAGACATCTATTTGTTTCTTTTAGCAGAAGGCTAGTCATCCAATGTATCCAAAAGAGGTAGCATACTATTCTATGTTGTTTTTTCCAGAATGTAACCATGAGATGGAGATTGGCTATAGGATGCTATTAGACATTGAATCCACAAACAGTGTGAAAACAGGATCAAACAAGAAGAAGTTGAGTTTTGAAACAGACTAAACTAAGCCTTCAAAAACCACGAAGGGATTTCTGGAGTGAATATAGCATGTTAGAGTTGTCCTGAGACAGGCTGAAATGGCAGGGCTTTACACCTCTGCCTCTCTAAATCACTGTCTGCAAGCTCCCCTGAGAAGTACATGGCATTGAGGGAAATGATCATCTCCTGAATAGAATGACCCTGGGGAGCACACACCTATATATTGTCTGCATACTTCTCTCTCCACCCTTGGACAGCAACTACTTTCTTGAACATGGATATGGTCAGCATAAGAAAGTCTACTCAAATCCACTTTTCTCTATATATTTGAGTGTCTGACCCTCTAGGGTTTTTGGTCCTCTTCCTGAGAGAAAACATGAAAATGAAAGGTGATAAAAAGGTGACTAGAGTTTTTCTCAGTGCTTCAATTGACACACAGATTTCCCTCTTGTATTCTCCATTTCAGATCCCCCTTTGTCAGCAAACACCTTTTGAAGTTCTTTATCCCCAAGGTATTTAAAGCCCTGTCTACCATACACTTCCCAAGCTGGCATGATTGTACCTCTTCATTTACAGTCATGAATGAATATAAAGGTATAAAGAGACAGCAATGGGAATCATTTGAGTCTCATACACGCATTCCTTTTTGCCCCTACTATGAAATTGCAGCCCTGCTTCCTTCTGATTATTAAAATCTATTACCTTTACTAAGCAGTAGTTTCTTGTCTTGCTTGCTAATCCATTGATGCAAAATGTCCAAGCAGGAGCCATAGATTATAATCCAGATTAACACATAGCCTCTAGCAAAATCTTTCTTTCATTAGGGAATGGCATTTCTAGTATTACACAACCAGAGTTGCAGGGATGGGAGTACAATTATCCCAAGTGGTTCACAGGAAATTATGGAGTGTGGGGCATTACTACAAACACCTGGTGGTTCCAGAATCCATATATTTTCTGCACTGGGGAGACAGCACCCTATATCTTTCCTTTAATGTGTATATGCATCCTATGCAGTGTCAATCCATCCTTAAAAAGTACTGCCTCTGATATGGTGGTTGAGCTTTGACTTTAGCAGGTTGTTACAATGTTTTATCGGGTCACCTGGTTTTGGTTGACATGTGATATGACCAACAGATCTCATGATCATGATCATGGGCTGTCTCACAGACCCCCTTGGCTGTAAAATGCCTCCTTGGTCTGGAGCAATATTATATCAGATCTCACGCTAGTGGATCAAAGACTAAATAAATCTTCAGATAGTGGTGCTACCTAGAAGCCCATGAGAAAGAAAATTATAGTCATATATGGAATATGTGTCTATTCCTGAGGAAAAAAAACCTCAGGAACTATTAAGAGACCCATATAATCAACTTGACACCAAGTGGCTGATTAGTCATATCAAAGAGAAGTTCTATATCAGAGGCTCAGCACTGGTGTCTACTAGCCAGCAGTTTTTAGACATGTGGAAGCAACAGTAACTAAATTAGACTTGATAATGGGAATTCATGCTTTTAGGCTCATGTATCTCTTCAATCTCCACCATTTTGGTCAGTTGGTCCAGTTTCCTATTATGCTATTACTGGAGTGGCCATGGGCACTGTGGCTGATACCACCAGGACAGATCATTCTATCTATTTGGGTATTTAGTGCCTCTATCACAGTAGATGCTCTATTATGGGCATTCATATAGGATACAAAGATTTTTATACTTTGTGCCCAAGCCCATATATCTATCCATATGCCTATTTCCTGAACCTACTTATTTATAATCTTCAAATATTTTTGTTTAGCCCTCTGACTAGCCAAGAAGTCATTTTCCATGAATATGAGTGAGCATATGTTCTAAATTTGGGTAAGCTTCTCTTTTCACACAAGGTTGAAAGACACATGCAATGTTTGAACTTCTGCCCAATGGAAAGCATTTTCCTTTCCACTGTCTTTCAAGGTCACCTTTAGTGTGGATATGTGTTTTTCAGTTTGCACTCATGTATGGAATTGACTTATCTATAAAATTAGTTCAGGCTTATTTCCACCAGGGGGATACTTGAGATTACCTATAAGTTGTAAGTATAGATTGAAGAATGAACATTGGTAGGAGTGGTAAGTCCCATGGGGGTCCGGGTTACCTGCTCATATAGTTTGCTGAAACCCCTGGTCATGTGTGTGCACACAATCTCAGGTATAATGCCTCCTTTTTACAATAGTTAGTAGCTCAGCCACAAAAGTTTATGAGTGGTTCTGGCCAAATAGCCATTTGGTGTTTCAGGAGTTAAGTCTGCCAGCACTTTATAGCATAACAGGAACTGTTTTGCCAAAAAAAAAAAAAAAAAGTATTATTCTTCTCACTCCAGATGGCATGGCTTTGTCTAGAACCGCATGGGTCAGCATTATAATTTTCTCATGGGCACTTACCACAAACTCCACATGGAATATATTGAATCATATGTCATATGCCAGCTTGTATGGCATAACATTTAGGACTACTTGCATCACAGTCTGGAACTACTGAATATTATTTTATTTTTCCAGGCCACACCCAAAGTTGGAAGCCTTTTATTTCACCCAGTATATGGGCCAGAGTAATATCCAAATATGTTGAATGTATTTTCCACAAAACCTAAAAAACTCTAACAAGCATTGTGCTTTCTTCTTTGTAGTAGAAGGTGTAAAATACTAAAATACAAATAACACAAAAATGTGTTATACAAATAACACAAAAATGTGTTATACAAATAACACAAAAATGTCTGTCATTTATATGGGATGTTCTGACATGCCTCTGACCTTTTGGGGCTCTTAAATATATCAGTATGGTTCTCTCCTACACACTTCAGTATTTGAGTCATAACAAGACCTTCAGCTTGTTAGCTATATCTTGCTCATCAGGCCAGATTAACATAATATTATCAATGCAATAAGTATATGTGTTATTTTTCAGAATACCCACACTGTTCAGACTTTTTCAAAGTATACTGCAAAGGAAGGTAGGAGAGTTATCATGGCCAAGAGGAAAAATATTGTTGTCTTTTCTATGAAAGCGCACACTCATTCTGTTCCTCATTATTGATTAGGGTAGAAAATGATGAGTTTGCCATATTAATGGCCACATGATATATACTTGAAGTCATAGTAATCTGTCCTAGCCATGTTATTATAAGGCTGCTGCAATCAAAGCTACTATTTGGGTGAACTTGAAGTGATCTGCATTCATCTTTTAGTAGTACTCTGTTTTCTATAGAAGCAGACTCAGGAATTAAGTGGAGACCGCCATAGTTATATCTTTAAGAGTAATACCAACTCTATCATGCTCTGAGAGATAAAATATTGCTTGATTAGAGGAAGTAGTTTCAGAGCCTTTTATTTGCCCTTCCCTGCTATGATAGGTCTTTTCCAAAAGAAAAAGAGAGCAATGTTTGAGTTGCACCACCTACCAAATATTGCAAAACCAATTGTATATTTATGGATGACCAAATATGTCAAAACCAATTGTACATTTATGGAAGAGGAAAATGGCCAATAGGTGGGTTTACAAACCAAGTAAACCCTTTACAAAGCATACCTTGTCTAGGATTCCATTTATTACCTGAATCTCACATGACTCCACTTTCAGAGAGATATCATGTTGACACTTTGAGTTTCTGAGTTTCAAATTCAACTCAGTCCTCACGTCCAAGATTACTTACAATGTCTAACTATTCCCTCTTCCCCTTTGTGCAATTAGCAGATAAATGATCCTAAATTCCTTGGAGAAATAACTGAGGAATTCATTATAATGTATACTTAGTCTAACAAGTTTCTATCTCCTGGGGACATAGACATATTTCCATCATTGACCTTGGGTCCAATACTTACTCAGGATTGAGCTGGTTCTTTAGACCCAAGATCCAATGACTACATTAAGATCATTCTTATTGAGTTAACTACTATCAAGCTATTGGTTATTAATACTTGATTATTTTTTTACTGGCACAATAAGAGGAATACACTTAATGCTACCAATCTATTTTTCCCTCAGGATGCCGTGTCCATTATATTTCTCTGTAATTCTCTGTGGTCCACGACCTCTTGACTCACACTCTCACCTTCCTGGGAATTGTAATAATTGTATTCACCTGAAGTGTGTGATTAAGTGATGCCCCCTGCCCCCTGTTGAGAGGAAGCTTGATTCTATTACCTCCATTGCTCTCAGTGAGCCAGATTATCTAAGACTTTTGTAGGCTAAAAATTAGTCCACCCGTTAGTCTTGACCTACAGAAGAGAAACATCACTGAATTCCGAGTGATGCTTGTGCCTTCTCACCAACATATTAAATGGTTTTGGTAAATAATGTATAACCTATGACTCCTCATGGAATACAACATCTATTAGTTCTTCCAGAACATGCATAGTATATTTATTCTAATATAAGTACCTCCATTAGCTTTCTGCTCCACTAATGGATATTCCAAAATTTCATCTTTTCTCAGTATAAGTCACTTGTTCCATTCTAGAAGTGATCCTAATAATAGATTCATACCATTTTCTAGGTTTCTTGCCAGAGTCTAGGGAATCTTGGGACAGTGCAACCAAATCAATAATCTTCCTATCTAATGTTATGTTCCAACTCCCTTGATCAAGCATTTTGAGAATATATTATCATGTGTATTACACTGGCTTTTTTGAGGTACAAATTTTAACTTTCCTATCAGAACCAGCCCACTCCATGCCAGGGCCTAATGCTACATAACATTATTTATTGACCTGACTTGTGACCAGGAATGGAGAGGGTATGGGTTCAGTTATTTATTTGGGGAAGAAAAGCTTCTGTATTGTTAACTAACAAGGAAAACGTGCTGGCTTTCGCTAGAGAAGAATGAAGACTTTTGTAGGCTAAAAATTCAAGGAGTCAGAATTTTCAGGGCTATTCTCTATATCTCTATGTCATATTCAATAGCCTAGCATTTCCCCAAGAGGGACATAAGCTTGGAATATTAAAGCTGTCTTTGTTGGGCATTTAATTTTATTTCATGTTTATTTTTTCAGAATACAAATTCCTGTATTTGATTTTTGGCCTTCTCTACTTTTTCTCTGCAGGAGATTAGGTTTCTTCATATGCAGCTAAATGATGCTTTTTTTTTAACACCTGGCTTTCAATTGCCTGTTTATTGCCCTCATATGTTTCATATCTTCTGTAGAGCATCATTGGTGCTTGGCAGTAGCCACTTAATCAGTTAATTTATTGCTATTTTTGTTTATATAACTCTTCAATGCCTGAAGTATTACATTTACTTGTGCATTTCCTCCTACTGGGATAATTTCAATTCATCACCACATTATTTTAACAATTTGACTTCAACTTTGAACTACCTACTACCAGGGGTATGTTCCTTAATGCCATGCTAGTGGTGAATGATTCTACTCTCAAATTTCATCTTGAACTACTTCCTGTATCAACTCTTTTAGGTTTAGAAAGGAGGAGTAGTGTAAGTTATCTATTAGGGACCAATACTTGAGAATGAAATGAAGATAAAATCAAAAAATGGCCAGGCATCTTTAACATCACATCTTGATTACCAAATGTGGGCTGCCTTGAGAAGAGCATTGCCTTGGCTAGAGTGGCCCTCTACAAATGAGAACAGTTTTCAAAATACTGATAGCTAATCTTCCCTGCAGGCAGATATGAGCAGGACATTTCTGTATCTTCCCAGCTCATAGAAGTTTGTTTAAGTGGAAGCATTTTAAAAACGAAAAATACATATTTACTTTAACTAAAATGATTAAAAAATTTGGAGATGTGTCTAGTTTAATATCTTATTAAATAGTGCTAACTTATGTTAAAAATAAAATAACTTGGTCAAACATTGAGCAGAATGTGTTGCAGATATAATTATGAAAGAAAAAATCTGTCTTTCTTGCCATGATCTTTGAGCTCTGGTATTGATGGGAGGAAATATGTACTAAAAAGGAAATCAAATAAACGAACAGTTAACATACATTTTGATAATTATAAATGCTGTATACAAACTAGAGGAATTTGAAATGTCTTTGAAAGGGTTTAGTAGATCAAATGGTCAAGAAATGTGTTATTTTAGATGAGAAAGTGTTAGCCATGCAAAATTAGAGCAGAAGCTATTCCAGAAGGAAAAAAAAAAAAAAAAACAGGAACAGAGGAACTGAGGTGGGATAAGTCTGGAGGCATTTTAGTACCAGAAAGTGAGCAATATGATAGAATACAGTGACCCTGGGAGTACATAACTCAAAATGAGGCTATAGATGGAGGCAGCTGCCAGATCACAGAAAGTGTCACATAACATAAATGTCTACTGTCTTAAAAATCTGAGCTAGATAACTCAAAAAAATGAATCCTTTAGCAGTGGGAGTAGTACAAAACGAAGCTAAGAGACTATAAAAAGGTGTATATATAGAGAGAGCTGGTAACCACAGGAAGGCGAATGTGTAAACATCATTGAGAATAAAACATACAGTGAAAGAGAAGGCATGCAATATAAGGGGGTGATGGCTTCAGCAGTGAGTCCTTAAATCTACTCTGTGCCCTGAAATAACAGTGGTGCCAATTCTGGTTATATGCATTTTTATCGGATAAATATTGGCTTTCCTGATGTAATGTAAATGAATATGTAGACATGTACAGATCTAGTCCAGGTGGAAAAACTTCAACATTTAGAAGGCCAGTGCAGTAGGGGTCAGGAAAAAAAATAAAACTTGATAATAGAGATACAAATAAAACTGGGAGAATGTGTATTATCATGAGATCAAAGAGGAAAAAAAGTTACTTTAAATTTTAAATAAAAAGTAAAATTATAAATATTTAAAGCATTCCAACAAGATGTGGAAAAAAGACTTCAATCATCCAGGGATGGCTTCTGCAGAAGAAGAGATAAAAATGTGATGAAAAATATTAAAGGAGGTGATTTATACCATAGCCAGAAAGCTAAGCAGCTTTGGATTTTAATTAGCAAGAAGGGATCACAGATTATTAAAATTTGGTGACAAGAATTTTTAAATATGCATCCTAAAATTAATTTGTTGTCTAGTATATGAACCAAGTCAGTGGAAGAGAGAGTTTTAAGTATTTAATGGTCATGAACTCTGTGCTAGGCAATTTGTATAGCATAGGGGTTAAGAGCACAGAATATAAAACCAGACATCCCGTCTTCAAAGCCTAAATCTCTGAATTAGCCACTGTGTGATCCTGGGCATTTTAAATATTCTCTCAATTTCCTTACTATAAACTGGAGATAAGAGTAATGCTTACCCAAAGTAAGAGGCTTACCACCATGGAATCATGCGATCTTGGCTGCAGGAAAACTGCTTGGCCCTCCCAACCTCTGAAACTGAAATAGAAAGCTGCCAGGAGATGGTGGGACAGAACTTCCCCAGGGAGGGAGCTTGTAAGGGGCCGTACATCCATTCTGAGACCAGACCAAAGCAGGTAAAGCAAAACATCATTTTCAAACCTAACCATTAGCAAACTACATGCTGTCCTGGGATCCAGTGGCACTGGGATAGGGGCAATACGAAAAGTTGTGCTGTCAATTGTTGAGATAGAAGAACAAGTTTGGAATGAGCTAGGAGCATTCTGCAGCCAGGGCTAGGAAGCAAGAGAGGCAGGGGCAACACTGGCCAGTGCCAGGAAGCAAGTGCTGCTGGGATTTGAGATGAGGATGTGAATTGCTGCTGGGACTTGGTTTTGAGTTGGGCGGAGGCTCCTGCAGCCTGATTGGGTGTAGAAGTTAAGTGCAGGCTACGATCACCAGACCAGAGGCTGAAATATAAAGAAAAAATATGTTCCCCACCCATATCTCAGGCTGTGGCAAAGGTGAATGGTCCCACCTTCTCCAGTAATAGGGCTTCTTCATGGCTGCTACTGCCCTCACCTGAGCCCTCTGCTGGGGCCTGAGAATCACCCATCTCCTGTCCACTGGGGCTGGAACCTACTCTTATTATTAGGGTGCCTGAGGCCTAGTCCACCCAGAGTGGCTTCGCCATTCCCTCCAAAACAGAGCACATAGCCTGGGGTCCTGGGAATTGCCCAACCAAATCCATAATCATAGGCACATAAGCACTCCTCTGAGGGGCCTGAGGTTAAACCTAAACACTTGGCTGCTGCACCTCAGCTGGCAACTACTTGTAAGTAGCAACTGCAGGCCTAAACACATTCCCACCCAGCTCATAGCAGTCATTGCAAATATCAATATACAACATTTGAAACCTATAGAATCATCCCACCACTGCTACTGCCATCACCCATGCCACACTGGGTGCAGAAGGGCATGAGAACCCACTGGCCCAGTAGATCTACCACTTTCACTACAAGCATCCAAGAAAGCCACCAGGAGGCCAAAGAATCAGCCGACTACTAACAGCCAATACCAGTGCCAGTGTATATTGTCCTGTGGTACAAAGACAGGCATACACAGCTCACCTCTGCCACAGCTGAGGCCTGAAGACTAGCCTACCTGACATCCCCATCCCCAGCACAACTTTAAAACAGCCTCCACTCTTAACCAGACCCTAGCACACTGAGAAATTCATAGAGACCACTAATGCTATTTACAGCCAACAAAATGATACAGAGATTACACTATTGCACACACACAGAATCAAAGTCAAGTACCCCACCTAACCATCAGCACAGATAAATCTTCAAAGAAATGTCTTCTTTTGAGAAGTATCTGATCATGTTCTTTGCCCACTTTTTGATGAGGTTGTTTTTGTTTTTTTCTTATAAATTTGTTTAAGTTCCTTGTAAATTCTGGATATTAGACCAAACACTGCGTGTTCTCACGCATAAGTGGGAGGTGAACAATGAGAACACATAAACATAGGGAGGGAAACAACACACACTGGAGCCTGTCGGGCAGTAAGGGGAGGGAGAGCATCAGTACAAATAGCTAATGCGTGTGGGGCTTGATACTTCGGTAACTGGTTGATAGGTGAAGCAAACCACCATGGCACATCATGTTTACCTATGTAACAAACCTGTACATTCTTAAAAAAAAAAAAGAGAGAGAGAAAAAAAGAATGAAAAAGAAAAAGTCTTTCCCTATGAGGGAAAATTCAAAAATAAAAAGAAATGACTATTACATCAGATGTGAAGATATCAATGTAAAGGAAGAGAAAACATTAAGAAGCAGAAAATTATGACACTTTTGAAGAAATAAAATAATTCTCCAGCAATAGATCTTAAACAAAAACACATTTTCAAAATTCAGGATAAAGAATTCAAAATATTTATTTTTAAAAACTCGGTGAGATACAAGATAATTATGAGGAAAAATACAGAAAAATAGAAAACTAACTTAGGATATGACTGAGAAATCTAATAAAAAGACAGGTAGTTTAAAAAACAACCACAGGACAGGGTGTGGTGGCTCACACCTGTAATCCCAGCACTTTGGGAGATGAAGGCAGGCAGATCACTTGAGCTCATGAGTTCGAGAACAGCCTGGCCTACATGGTGAAAACCCTCTCTACTAAAAATATAAAAATTAGCTGGGTGTGATGGTGCACACCTGTAATCTCAGCTAATCGGGGAGTTGAGACATGAGAATCTCTTGAACCTGTGAGGTAGAGGGTGTAGTGAGCTGAGATGGTGCCTCTGCACTCCAGCCTGCGCGACAGAGCAAGACTGTCAAAAGAAAAAAAAAAAAAGAAAAGAGATTCTGATGAAATAACTCCAAGAACAGTTTTTATATTTTATTTTCACATTGAAAATCAGTTGGATTTGCGTCAGCCTCAAAAAGTATGTTTATGTAAAATTTAATGAGTACTGGCAGTGAGTTGTACTTTTTTTTTCTAAATGGGAAAAGGCTTAAAATCTTCAACAATAGGCTGGATTAGATAGAAAAACAAATCTCAGAACTTGAAGACAGATATCCTGAAATAATTCAGTCAGATAAAAATAAAGAGGCCTGGCGCGATGGCTCACGTCTGCAATCCCAGCACTTTGGGAGGCTGAGGCGGGCAGATCACCTGAGCTCAGGAGTTCGAGACCAGCCTGGCCAACGTGGTGAAACCTCATCTCTACTAAAAATACAAAAATTAGCCAGTTATGGTGGCAGGTGCCTGTACTGCTAGCTACTCAGGAAGCTGAGGCAGGAAATCTGGGAGGTGGAGGTTTCAGTAAGCCAAGGTTGCACCCTGGCACACCAGCCTGGGCAACAAGAGTGAAACTCCTTCTTAAAAAAAGAAAGAAAGAAAGAAAGAAAGAAATAAAAAAGAATAAGCAAAACATTTATGACATTTGAGATAACATAAAGTGACCAAATTTATCAATTATTGGTATCCTCAAGGAAGTGGAAACAAAGAAATGATTAGAAAACCTATTCAGTAAAATAATAGATGAGAACTTCCCAAGTCTAGCAAGAGATTTAGACATTCACACACAGAAGGCTCAACGACCCCCAGATAGATACAATGCAAAAATGTCTTCTGCAGAGCACATTATAATAAGACTGTGTAAAGTCAAAGATAAAGAGCGAATCCTAAAATCAACAAAAGAAAGGTGCCTAATTACCTATAAAAGAAATCTTATCAGTCTAACAGCAAATTTCTCAGCAGAAACCTCACAGTCCATAAGAGAATGGGATAATATATTCAAAGTCCTAAAATAAAGGAACTATCCCCAATGTATACTATATCCAACGAAATTTTTCTCATAAACGAAGAAAAAATAAAATAATTCCCAGATGATGAAATGTTGAGGGAATTCATTACCATTAGACTGGCCCTAAAAGAAATGTTCAAGAGAGTCCCAAACTTAGCAGCAAAAAGATGACATTTATCATCATGAAAACAAGTGTACAAACTATGAAAGCAATCGCACAAATGAGGAATAGAAGCTACTCAAATGATACCACTACAGGAATACACCAAATCACAATCATGAAACATTAGAAAAAAAGGATGGGAATAAAGAATATACAAAACAAACAAAACAATTAATAATATAACAGAAACAAAGTCTTACATATCAATAATAATCTTGAATGTAAACAAGTTAAATTATGGACTTAAAAGATATGGAATGGCAAAATGGATTTAAAAAATGCTCCAACTATATGCTACTTACAAACAAAACAAAACAAAACAAAAAACCCTCACTTTACCAGTGAAGATACATATAGAGTGAAAGAAAGGGATGGAAAAAGATATTGCATGAAAATGGAAACCAAAAGTGAGCAGGAGTAGCTATGCTTGTGTTAGATATACAGATTTTAACTTAAGAATAGCAAAAAAGTAGTCATTATGTAATGATATTGAAATCAACTAGTGGAGTATTTCACCATCCCATTTTCAGCCTTAGACAGATCCTACAGTCTGTAAATTAATAAAAAAATTGGATATAAACTGGACTTTAGATTAAATGGATCTAAGAAACATTATGAAACATTCTATCTAAAAACCACATGCATTCATACTTATGCTAGTCCATATTATAGCCCATATGCCTAATACATGGGCTATCCTGGAGAATGTTTCATGTTCTGATTTAAAGAATGTATATGAACATGAAACATTCTCCAGCATAGCCCATATGTTTGGCCACCAAAAAACTCTAAGAGGATTTTTTAAAATTAAAATTTAATCAAGTATCTTCTCAGTCTATAATAAAAGAAAACTAAAAATTAATACTAGTAAAAACTTTGGAAACCATATATATATGGTTTATATATATATAATTATATATATGTTTATATATATATATATATATATTATACAACATGCTCCTGAATGACCATTGTGTCAATGAAAAAACTGAGATGAAAATAAAAAAATTATTTGAAACAAATGACAATGAAAACACAACATACAGAAACATGTAGGATAAAGCAAAAACAGTGCTAAGAGGGACATTTATAGCAATAAATGCTTACACAAAAAGGGGAAAGTTTAGAAATTAACAATCCAACAAAATGTCTCAAGAGACTAGAAAAGCAAGAGCAAACTTACTGCAAAATTAACAAAAGAAATAGTAAAGATCTGAGCATAACTATATAAAATATAAAGTAAATTCAAGACAAAAGATTAATAAAATTAAAAGCTGGTTTTTCAAAAAGATTAAACAAACTGATAAAGCATTCACTAGACTTGGCAAGCAAAGGAGATCCGAATAAAATCCAAAATGAAAAATGAGACATTACAACTGATACCTCAGAAATGCAAAAGATTATGAGAGACTATTATTAACAATTATACAACTGGAAAATCTAGAAGACATGGATCCATTCCTGGAAACATACAATTTACCAAGATTAGATGAAGAATAAATAGAAAATATGAAAAAAACCAGTAATGACTAGTGAGTTGAAAGAACAATAAAAAGTCTCACAACAAAGAAAAGCCCAGGACCAGATGAATTCACAAATTATACCAAAAATACAACTAAGAATTAATAACAAGCCTCCTGAAACTATTTTCAAAAATAAAAGAGAAGGGAATTC